>NT_167246.2:2318990-2511432 GCF_000001405.40 Homo sapiens | reverse complement strand
GGCCAGGCTGGTCTCGAACTCTTGACCTTGTGATCTGCCCACCTCAGCCTCCCAAAGTGCTGGAATTACAGGTGTGAGCCACCATGCCCGGCGTTTGTATGCGTTAAGATTATTTTTTGCTCAGCAATCAATTGCTGGAACACATCCATATAATTCACTACTGTTATTATATTTTTCCTTATTGTCTTTCAGATTGTAAGCATCAGGGAGCAGGTGTTAGTCTCTTTTGATTAAATGATCACCAGGCCTAGAAAAATGCCTGGCACAGAAGCACTTACTAAATATTTGTTAAATGGATGAATAAACTATGTGACCAGAATTCCTTAATACTGGGTCCGAGACTAGAAAGTGGGAGTTACTGGTTTGGTTTTGGCACTTGTTTAGTCAGCTTGTGCTGCCATAACAAAACACCACAGATGGATTGGTTAACAACAGACATTTCTTTCTCACAATTCTGGACCCTGGAAATCTGAGGTTAGGGAACCAGCAGATTCAGTTCCTGGTGAGGGCCCTCTTCCTGCCTGGCAGACAGCTGCCTTCTTGCCATATCCTCACGTGGTGAAGAGAGTGGGAGCTCCAGTCTCTTCTTTTTCTTAAAAGGACACTAATCCCATCATGGGGGCCCCAACCTCTCAACCTCTTCTGAATCTAATCACTTCCCAAGATGGCCACCAGTCTCAAGGAGTTTACTGTCACAGTGGGAGCAAAGATGCTACAGCAGGTTGTAAAATTAAGTGTCATCCCAGTCAGTGGGGAGAGGACAGGTAATTCAGGGAAGGGGACCTGGATAGAGCTCACCCATAGGATATGGCAGGTCCCAGAACTCTACTGAAATCAAGTCTGGACAAAAGTCAATAATATTCTTCTGACCGAATTCCTTTCAGTCTTCCTGAGGGATGGGCAGGCTCATTCCAGAATAAAGAAGATGCCTGGGGTAAAGAAGACTAGTCTCCAAGGGCACTGGGCCAGGACACCTAGGTTCTACTGGTCACCAACGCCCACCCAGATCTCTCCTGGGTGGAGCCTTGTTCCAAGCCTCTCACAGCCCTTGCCTGCATTCCCATGGTGCTCACCATGGATAACAGGGTCACAGCCAGCCTCAGAGCCAGACTGTTAAGTGAAACCACTGATCCTTGCTGAATTACTTCCTTGAGGCTGAGATAAACTTCACATTTCAGCCTCATTAATAAGATTAATTGTAAATCCAAATGGCCTGCAAATCTATAAACAGTCGCTCAGTTGATTAGCCAGAACATTGAGGACTGTTAATGATACAGGAAAAGGCCCATTTTGGAGGTGAGAAGCTGAGGAGCTTGAAACTGTTTCCATTGTTTATGAAAGTAATCTGACAATTATGAATGAAAATACCCACCACCCCCCGACCCAGCAATCCAAGGTGGGAAATATCTTTTTTTTTTTTGAGACGGAGTTTTGCTCTTGTCCCCCAAGCTGGAGTGCAGTGATGCAATCTCAGCTCACTGCAACCTCCACCTCCCAAGTTCAAGTGATTCTCCTGCCTCAGCCTCCCAAGTAACTGAGATTACAGGCGTGTGCCACCATGCCAGGGTAATTTTTGTATTTTTAGTAGAAACGAGGTTTCACCATGTTGACCAGGCTGGTTTCGAACTCCTGACCTCAAGTGATCCGCCTACCTCAGCCTCCCAAATGCTGAGATTACAGGTGTGAGCCCAAACTCCTACTTTTAAATCACTGCATAATAGTCCGTAGTCCATTGAATGGAGTATAGCAATAAACACTGTTACATATTCTGAACCTCAACTCCCTCCCTCCCTCCCTCCCTTCCTCTCTCTCTCTCTTCTTTCTTTCTTATTTTTTAACACAGGGCCTCACTCTGTCACCCAGGCGGAGTGCAGTTGTGGGTTAATCATGGCTCACTGCAGCCGCGACCTCCCCAGGCTCAGGTGATCCTCCCACCTCAGCTTCCAGAGTAGCTGGGACTACAGGCATGAGCCACCTCACCTGGCTAATTTTTTGTATTTCTGGTGGAGAAGGGGTTTCACCATTTTGCCCAGGCTGGTCTTAAACTCCTAGGCTCAAACCATCTGCCTGCCTCACCCTCCCAAAGTGCTAGGATTACAGGTGAGCCACCACACCCAGCCAACTGTCTTTATTTCTGTAAGAGATATTTCCCGGCCAGGCGCGGTGGCTTACACCTGTAATCCCAGCACTTTGGGAGGCCGAGGCGGGTGGATCACCTAAGGTCAGGAGTTCGAGACTAGCCTGGACAACATGGCAAAACCCCGTCTCTACTAAAAATATAAAAATTAGCCGGGCGTGGTGGGGGGTGCCTGTAATCGCAGCTACTTGGGAGGCTGAGGCAGGAAGAATTGCTTGAACCCGGGGGGGCGGAGGTTGCAGTGAGCCCAGATGGCGCCACTGCACTCCAGTCTGGGTGACAGACCAAGACTGTCTCAAAAAAAATAAAATACATAAATAAATAACAATAATAATATGTAAGATTTGTCCCACGGCATTTTGAGGTGATGGCAGGCAGAAATAAAGCCAGTCCCACCCTTTCTGGGCTAGGGAAAGCTGAGATGGTCTTCGGCTCCGGGTGAGTCACTCCCCAGGGTCCAGGCCTGGCTGCCCGTTCCCCTCCCCCTCCAACCCACCTACAGCCCCTTCTGCTCTGCCCCATCAACTACATTTTCTCCCTCAGCACTCGCCTTAGATTCCTGGACTCACAGCACAGAGGCGACCTCCTCCTTGCAGACTTTAGGCGCCACTGCGGGGTCCGGAAAAAAAAGAGAAACGGCCCAGCGCTGTCACTTACATAACCCAGGGCGGGGCTGCGCTCAGCGACCGCAGGCGTTTTGAATTCTGCGCCCCAGAGTTCACTGCGAGGACTGGGATCACCCGTCACCCCGCCCTGGTCTACGGAAAATGACAAGTGTTTACTGATATAGAAACGGAATAACGGCGCTGTGGGCTGGGGTGGGCGGAGCTGCCTTCAGGCTTCTGGTCTCCAGCGGCGGGGAACTCACACCTGCCGCTGTGAAAATGCAGACCCGCGGGGCAGTAATTCCGAGTCCAGCCTGGGGCGCGATCTGGAATCTTGACTCGCTTGAAACACCACGGCGGATTCGGAGACAGGTGAGTAGAGAAATGAGCCTCAGCCCCTCCCACGGGCCGCCCACGGATTCCAGGATCCGGAAACTCTTCCTGCTGCTGCGTCACCCCAGGAAGGCAGCGCCCGCCTCTGGGCCGTTCTGATGGAAACTGGCTTCGCCGCCCAGAGGAAAACCCACAACTAAGGGGCCAAGAAAAAGCCTCCATGGTCCCGCCCTTTCAGTGAGGATCCTAATTTATACCCCGAGTGTGGCCCCCATCAAAGTCTGCAGTGACAGCCGAGCGCGGTGGCTCACGCCTGTAATCCCGGCACTTTGGGAGACCATGGCGGGCGGATCACTTGAGGTCAGGAGTTCGAGACCAGCTTGGCCAACATGGTGAAGCCCCTTCTCTACTAAAAATACAAAAATTAGCCGGGTGTGGTGGTAGGCGCCTGTAGTCCCAGCTACTCGGAGGCTGAGGCAGAAAAATGGCGTGAACGCGGGAGGCGGAGCTTGCAGGGAGCCGAGATCGCGCCACTGCACTCCAGCCTGGGCGACAGAGTGAGACTCCATCTCACAAAAAAAAAAAAAAAAAAATGTAGAGTGACGTTCACTGAAATGATACTAGACCAGCGGGAGGGACCCAGAGCGCTGCGGTTTACAGAATGCGGTGACAGCGCCGCCTCGCGTCCTTTACTTCACCTGCCCCAGGCAGACGTGGTCACGTGTGTTGGCCTGGAGGCTGGAATACACTGGGGTCAAATGCAGAGTGGAGAAAGGAGGGAAGGATGGGAGGACGTGTTGAAGAGAGACAGTAAGAGCTGGCGCTATGATTCATACCTGTAAAACTAGCGTTTTCGGAGTCGAGGCAGGAGGATCGTGTGAGACCAGGAGTTTGAGGTTGCAGTGAGCCGTGATCACACCACTGCACTCCAGCCTGGACGACAGAGTGAGACCCTACTTTTATGTACTTTTCATATTTTCTGTAATTAAGCAAGTTTTGTGTCTGGAAGTGGTGGGTTTTTGATCTCACTGACTTCAAGAATGAAACTGCGGACCCTCGCGGTGAGTGTTACAGCTCTTAAAGTGGCACGTTTGGAGTTTGTTCCTTCTGATGTTCGGACGTGTCCTGAGTTTTTTCCTTCTGGTGGGTTCGTGGTCTCGCTGGCTCAGGAGTGAAGCTACAGAGCTTCGCGGTCAGTGTTATAGCTCTTAAGGCGGCACGTCTGGAGTTGTTCGTTTCTCCCGGTAGGCTTTTGGTCTTGCTGGCTTCAGGAGTGAAGCTGTAGACCTTCACAGTGAGTGTTACAGCTCATAAAAGCACTATGGACTCAAAGAGTGAGCAGTAGCAAGATTTATTACAGAGTGAAAGAACAAAGCTTTAGCAGTGTGGAAAAGGACCCAAGCAGGTTGCCACTGCTGGCTCGGGCAGCCTGCTTTTATTCTCTTATCTGGCCCCACCCACATCCTGCTGATTGGTAGAGCCGAGTGGTCTGTTTTGACAGGGTGCTGATTGGTGCGTTTGCAATCCCTGAGCTAGACACAAAGGTTCTCCAAGTCCCCATCAGATTAGTTAGATACACAGTATGGACACAAAGGTTCTCCAAGGCCCCACCAGAGCAGCTAGATAGAGAGTGTAGATTGGTGCATTCACAAACCTTGAGCTAAACACAGGGTGCTGATTGGTGTGTTTACAAACCTTGAGCTAGATACAGAGTGCCGATTGGTGTATTTACAATCCCTGAGCTAGACATAAAGGTTCTCCAAGGCCCCACCAGAGCAGCTAGATAGAGTGTGGATTGGTGCGCTCAGAAACCCTGAGCTAGGCACAAGGTGCTGATTGGTGTGTTTACAATCCCTGAGCTAGACATAAAGACTCTCCACGTCCCCACCAGACTCAGGAGCCCAGCTGGCTTCACTTAGTGGATCCCGCACCGGGGCTGCAGGTGGAGCTGCCTACCAGTCCCGCACGGTGCGCTTGCATTCCTCAGCCCTTGGGTGGTCGATGGGACTGGGCGCCCTGGAGCAGGGGGCGGCGCTCGTCGAGGAGGCTCGGGCCGCACAGGAGCCCTTGGAGTGGGTGGGAGGCTTAGGCATGGCGGGCTGCAGGTCCCCAGCCCTGCCCCGCGGGAAGGCAGCTAAGGCTCGGTGAGAAATCGAGCGCAGCGCTGGTGGGCTGGCACTGCTGGGGGACCCAGTACACCCTCCGCAGCTGCTGGCCCGGGTGCTAAGTCCCTCATTGCCAGGGGCCAGCAGGGCTGGCCGGCTGCTCCGAGTGCGGGGCCCGCCAAGCCCACGCCCACCCGGAACTCCAGCTGGCCGGCAAGCGCGGCACACAGCCCCGGTTCCCGCTCGCGCCTCTCCCTCCACACCTCCCCGCAAGCTGAAGGAGAGGGCTCCGGCCTTGGCCAGCCCAGAAAGGGGCTCCCACAGTGCAGCGGTGGGCTGAAGGGCTCCTCAAGTGCCGCCAAAGTAGGAGCCCAGGCAGAGGAGGCGCGGAGAGCAAGCGAGGGCTGTGAGGACTGCCAGCACGCTGTCACCTCTCGGTTTTACTTTATTTTAGGATAAAATATCTATTGTGAATTTTAAAAACATGTAAAATAAAATTTTAATTAAAAAGCCTAAATGTTCTTTTCCTACTTATCCTGAAGGAAATTCCTGTTGATGGCGCATTTAGGAACTTATTTATCCCCTGAAGACCTGAGCCCTGCACATATCAAAACTGTACATTCCTTGTGGAGCAGTCTTCTCTTTTGAAATGTAAACACTATTTCCCTAATCTTCAAGCCAGCCATTGTCACTCCTAGTGACACTTCCATTGGATAAGCTCCTTACTCTCACTGAAATTGGCCTCAGAGTTGCAGCCAAGCATTGGGAGCCATGGCAGAAGTCATTGTGGGGTTTGCACCTGGCTGATGTGGAAGGTAGTCCTGAAAGGTAGTGTGTGACTAAGTGGGCTCTGGAGGGCAGGGATGTGCCTGGTGAGAGGAGAACAAGACAGATAGGAAGGTTCCAAAAGAAAACTTCAGGGGTCCCTGTGCCCAACATCGGGATTTAGAAAATCTTCTCCCAGCCACTTTTGGCCTGCTTTCATTCCGCTTTCCTGTCTACCAGGCCATTGCAGGCAGTTCCTTCATTGAATAAATATTTATCAAATACCTACCACGTGCCAGGCATTGTGTTTAAGGAGCTGGGGCTGAGGTAAGAGGAACCAAACCTCCCTTGCGCTCAAGGTTGTCCCAGTCTTGCTCAGGCAGAGATCAGTCAGGAAATTTTAACACTAATGGTTGGCAGGACATGTACACATGCTTTGCAAACTCACAAGTAGACCATCTTCTCTGACCTAGGAGTCACAGAAAGTTCACAAAAGAGACAATGTTCAAGCTATGTTTTGAGGTGTAAGTAGGAGCCCAACAGGCACCTGGGACAAGAGAGCATTGCTCAGAATCCAGAACATGAATTTCTTTCCCTGGGCCAGGCCAAGAATCAGACTAAGCTGACTGAGGAGCCAGATGCTTCCTGGCAAGAAAGGGTGTCCCACATCTGACTATTCCAAAATCACAGCTACTCAATGTTGAGACTTAAGACAGACAGAAAAAGAGAAAGGCCTGATTCGAAAAGCAGAATTCTCCAGGGGTGGGGGGAGGTTAAACTGCAGTTTCTGATATAATATGTGTGGGCCAGGCCAGAGAATTGCATTTCCTTTTTTATTTATTTATTTATTTATTTATTTTGAGACGAAGTCTTGCTATTGTCCCCCAGGCTGGAGTGCGATGGCGCAATCTTGGCTCACTGCAACCTCCGCCTCCCGGGTTCAAGTGATTCTCCTGTCTCAGCCTCCCAGGTAGCTGGGATTACAGACGCCTGCCACCACGCTCGGCTAATTTTTTGTATTTTTAGTAGAGACAGGGTTTCACCATGTTGGCCAGGCTGGTCTCGAACTCCTGACCTCAGGTGATCCGCCCGCCTCAGCCTCCCAAAGTGCTGGGATTACAGGCGTGAGCCACTGCGCCCAGCTGAGAATTGCATTTCTAAGAAGTTTCCAGGTGATGCCAGTGCTGTTTGTCCCAGGACTACACTTTGAGAATCACTGCCCTAAAGCAACCTGGTTTGATCTCTAATAACAGAAGAGGACTGGGAGAGCACTATGAGGCAGAAGTGTAGGATAAATAAGACCATACTCTGCCCATCCTGGAGAATTCGCAAGCCCAAGGCTGCAGCATTTGAATTCCTTGGGAGTCCCGGGAATTGCAGACACCCAGGAAGAAACTGAATGTGGGTCAGAGGGTGATGCATGCTCTCTGCTTCACACAGCACCTGGGGTTCCTGCCACTACACAGTCTGGCCCCCACACCCTCAATCCTTCCCACCCCTCCTCGAAGCATTGACCTGCAGGCCTTACTCTACTGCCCTCAGCTGTTTGGGCCTGGGATATGACCCTAGGCACTCCTACCATACCTTCTGATCCAAATACAGGGTGACCTAGTATGACAACTATTAGCAGACTCATAGGGATAACAGAATGGGCTAAGAATGAGAATCTTTGGTTGCGCACGCCTGTAATCCCAGCCACTTGGGAGGCTGAGGTGGGAGGATCGCTGGAGCCCGGGAGGTGGAGGTTACAGTGAGCAGAGATCAGGCCACCAACATTCCAGCCTGGGCAAAAAAGTGAGACTCTGTTTCAAAAAAAATAAAATAAAATAAAAAGGCCGGGCATGGTGGCTCACACCTGTAATCCCAGCACTTTGGGAGACCAAGGCCAATGGATCACTTGAGGCCAGGAGTTCCAGACCACCTTGGCCAACATGGTGAAACCCTGTCTCTGCAAAAAATACAAAAAGTAGCCAGGCATGGTGGCATGCACCTGTAGTCCCAGCTACTCCAGAGGCTGAGGCAGAGAATCGCTTGAACCAGGGAGGCGGAGGTTGCAGTGAACCGAGAAGATTGCACCACTGCACTCCAGATGGGGCAACAGAGCGAGACTCTGTCTCCAAAAAAAAAAAAAAAAAATAAGAATCTTGAAAAGTTGGCAAGTGGCTTCAATTACATGTCCCCCAGAATTACAAGTGTTTTTTCTAAATATCACATCCTTGGGCCCACATGGACACCAGAGGGCACCCTGAGCTCACTGAAGCCACAACTGTCGCATTAGACCATTAGAATCCCTTGTAAAGGCCAGGCATGGTGGCTCACACCTGTAATCACAGCACTTTGGGAGACCGCGGAGGGTGGATCATCTGAGGTCAGGAGTTCGAGACCAGCCGGGCCAACATGGTGAAACCCCATCTCTACTAAAAATTAGCTGGGTGTGGTAGCATGCACCAGTAATCTCAGCTACTGGGGAGGCTGAAGCAGGAGAATCACTTGAACATGGAAGGCAGAGATTGCAGTGAGCCAAGATTGCATCCTTGCACTCCAGCCTGGGCAACAACAGCAAAACTCCATCAGAAAAAAAAAAAAAAAAAGAATCCTTTGTAAAGACTGCGGTTTGGCTGGGAGCAGTGGCTCATGCCTGTAATGCCAGAAATTTGAAAGGCTGAGGGTGGGCCACGGTGGATCGCTTGAGGTCAGGAGTTCAAGACCAGCCTAGTCAACATGGTGCAACCCCATCTCTACTAGAAATACAAAAATTAGCTGGGCATGGTGGCATGCAACTGTAGTCCCTGCTACTCAGGAGGCAAGAGAATTGCTCGAGCTCTTAAGGCAGAGGTTGCAGTGAGCCAAGATTGCATCACTGCACTCCAGCCTGGCCAACACAGCAAGACTCCATCTCAAAAAAAAAAAAAAAAAGGAGTGATATAATTTTTAGACAATTTTTTTTTTTTTTTTTGAGATGGAGTCTCGCTCTGTCACCCAGGCTGGAGTGCAGTGGCACGATCTTGGCTCACTGCAAGCTCTGCCTCCCGGGTTCACGCCATTCTCCTGCCTCAGCCTCCTGAGTAGCTGGGACTATAGGTGCCCGCCACCACACCCGGCTAATTTTTTGTATTTTTAGTAGAGACAGGGTTTCACCGTGTTAGCCAGGATGGTCTCCATCTCCTGACCTCGTGATCCGCTTGCCTCTGCCTCACAAAGTGCTGGGATTACAGGCGTGAGCCACCGCGCCTGGCCCCAGCTACAATTTTTGTTTTCTCTTAATGAAGGTAAGAGAATTCTATCAGGCTGAGTTTTTTTCTTAAATTTTCACTATGAGTTTTTTGGGTTTTTTTCCTCCTTGGAATTACCTTTTGTGTTTTCACTTGGTTAAAAATTCAAAAGGTTCAAAAGGCAAAAAGTCTCTGTCTTGGCCGGGTGCAGTGGCTCAAGCCTGTAATCCCAGCACTTTGGGAGGCCGAAGCAGGTGGATTACAAGGTCAAGAGTTCGAGACCAGCCTGGCCAACATGATGAAACCCCCGTCTCTACTAAAAATACAAAAATTAGTCGGGTGTGGTGGTGGGCATCTGTAATCCCAGCTACTTGGGAGGCTGAGGCAGGAGAATCACTTGAACCCGGGAGGCAGAGGTTGCAGTGAGCCGAGATCTTGCCATTGCACTCCAGCCTGGGCGACAAGAGCAAGACTCCGTCTCGAAAAATAAATAAATTAATTAATTAATTAAAGAAAGAAAGAAAACAAACTTAAGACATTTGTTCGGGCTTGGTGGCCCACGCCTGTAATTCCAGCACTTTGGGAGGCCGAGGCGGGCGGATCACCTGAGGTAAGGAGTTCGAGACTAGCCTGGAAAACATGGCAAAACCCTGTCTCTACTAAAAATACAAAACATTAGTGGGCGTGGTGGCAGAAGGCTGTAATCCAGCTACTTGGGAGGCTGAGGCAGGAGAATCACTTGAACCCGGGAGGCGGAGGTTGCAGTGAGCTGAGATTGCACCATTGCACTCCAGCCTGGGTGACAGTCAGATTCTGTCCCAAAAAAACCAAACAAACTTAGACGTTTTATGCATATGCAAGCAAATATAAGTGTGTGTGTATATACATATAATTTCCCTCTTTCCACATAAATTTTAGCAAACTACATATGCTTTCCTTCATCTTGTTTTTTTTTTTCTTTCTGAGACAAGGTTTCACTCTGTCACCCAGGCTGGGGTATACTAGTATGACTACCACTCACTGAAGGCTTGAACTCTTGGGCTCCCCACTAGCTGGGACCACAGGTGTGAGCCACAACACCTGGCTTTTTTTTGAGACAGAGTTTCACTCTTGCCGCCCAGGCTAGAGTGCAATGGTGCGATCTTGGCTTACTGCAACCTCTGCCTTCTGGGTTCAAGTGATTCTCCTGCCTCAGCCTCTGGAGTAGCTGGGAAATCCCATCTGTACTAAAAATACAAAAATTAGCCAGGCGTGGTGGTGCACACACCTGTAGTTCCAGCTACTCAGGGGGCTGAGGCAGAAGAAATGCTTGTACCTGGGAGGTGGAGGTTGCTGTGACCTGAGATCTCACCACTGCACTGCAGCCTAAGACAGTGAGACTGTCTCAAAATTTAAAAAAAAAAATTTTTTTTTTTTAAAGAAAGAATGAACTACTGATAGGTGCAACAACATGGATGGATTACATAGATATTATGCCAAATACAAAAAGCCAGACACAAAAGAGGCCATACCTATGCATGCATTTATAGGAAGTTTTAAAACAGGCAGCCCAGCACAGTGGCTCACACCTGTAATCCCAGCACTTTGGGAGGCCGAGGCGGGTGGATCACCTGAGGTCAGGAGTTTGAGACCAGCCTGGTGAACATAGCGAAACCCCATCTCTACTGGAAGTACAAAATTAGCCAGTCATGATGGCTCACACCTGTACTCCCAGCTACTCAGGAGGCTGAGGCAGGAGAATCTCTTGAACCCAGGAGGCAGAGGTTGCAGTGAGCCGAGATCGCGCCATTGCACTCCAGCCTGGGTGGCAGAATGAGACTCCATCTCAAAAAAAAAAAAAAATTAGGAAAAACTGCTCTATAGTGATAGTCATCAGATCCATGGCTACTCAGGGGTAGGGCAGAATCAAAGAGGGCAAAGAGAACTTTTTATATCTTGACAGGGGTGTGGGTGACATGTACTTGTCAAAATTCATTGATGGATTTGCTAAAGATCTGATCATTTCACTTTTTGTAAATGGTGAAATTTTAAAATAAAATTTTAATAAATTTAATAAATTTTAAAATAAAAATATTTTTGCTGGGCACGGTGTCTCACGCCTGTAATCCCAGCATTTTGGGAGGCCAAAGTGGGTGGATCACTTGAGGTCAGGAATTTGAGACCAGCCTGGCGAAACCCTGTCTCTGCAAGCAAATACAAAAATCATCCAGGTGTGTGGTGTGTACCTGTAGTCCCAGCTACTCAGGAGGCTGAGAGAGGAAAATCGCTTGACCCTGGGAGGTGGAAGTTGCAGTGAGCTGAGATCACACCACTGCACTCCAGCCTGAGCAATAGAGGGAGACTCTGTCTCAAAAAAATAAAATAGGGTTGGGGACAAAGGGAGGGAGAGCATTAGGACAAATACCCAATGCAGGCGGGGCTTAAAACCTGGATGACAGGTTGATAGGTGCAGAAATCACCATGGCACATGTATACTTATGTAACAAACCTGCACATTCTGCACATGTATCCTGGAACTTAAAGTAAAAAAAGTAATAATAATAATTTTAAAAATAAATAAATTAATTAAACAAAAATATTTTAATGTTAATAATAAAAAGTAGCCGGGGGCTGTGGCTCATGCCTGTAATCCCAGCACTTTGGGAGGCCGAGGTGGGCGGATCACCTGAGGTCAGGAGTTTGAGACTAGCCTGGCCCACATGGAGAAACCCTGTCTCTACCAAAAATACAAAATTAGCCGAGGGTGGTGGCAGGGGTTTGTGATCCCAGCTACTCAGGAGGCTGAGGCAGAAAAATCACTTGAACCCAGGAGGCAGAGGTTGCGGTGAGCTGAGATTGTGCCATTGCACTCCAGCCTGGGCAACAAGAACAAAACTCCGTCTCAAAAATAATAATGATAATAAATAAGATAATTGGGCCAGGTGTGGTGGCTCACACCTGTAATCTCAGCATTTTAGGAGGCCGAGGTGGAAGGATCACCTGAGGTCAGGAGTTCAAGACCAGCCTGGCCAACATGGTGCAACCTCATCTCTATTAAAAATACAAAAAATTGGCTGAGTGTGGTGACTCACGCTTGTAATTCCTGTACTTTGGGAGGCCAAGGCAGGTGGACCAGTGGACCACGAGGTCAGGAGATGGAGACTATCCTGGCTAACACAGTAAAACCCCATCTCTACTAAAAATACAAGAAATTAGCTGGGCGTAGTGGCACATGCCTGTAGTCCCAGCTACCTGGGAGGCTGAGGCAGGAGAATCACTTGAACCCGAGAGGTGGAGATTGCAGTGAGCCAGATCACACCATTGCACTCCAGCCTGGGCGACAGAGCGAGACTCCATCTCAAAAAAAAAATACAAAAAATTAGCAAGGCACAACGGGCACGGTGGCTCAAGCCTGTAATCCCAGCACTTTGGGAGGCTGAGGCAGGCGGATCACGAGGTCAGGAGATCGAGACCATCCTGGCTAACATGGTGAAACCCCATCTCTACTAAAAATACAAAAAAATTAGCCAGGCGTGGTGGCAGGCACCCGTAATCCCAGCTACTCGGGAGGCTGAGGCAGGAGAATGGCATGAACCCGGGAAGCAGAGCTTGCAGTGAGCTGAGATCACACCACTGAACTCTAGCCTGGGCAACAGAGCAAGACTCCGTCTCAAAAAAAAAAAAAAGAGTACTGAAGTTCCAAAGGAGAGGATAAACAGGCTGCACAAACAACTTTCGCAGAGTAGATACGTAATCAGTGACTTGAAACACCTGCTGGGCACTCAAACTAGGCCAAAGGAAAGAGAAACAGAATGAGTATATGCTATAAGAACTGGAGATAAGTAAGATTCCTTACTCATATCCTTATCTCCAGTTCTTGGCACATAATGGGCACTCAGTTTATTGTTAGGTGAATAGGCTGCTGCGGAGAAAGGTAAATAAATGATGGAAAAAATTACAAGGGGAATTAACTAATCTGTACACTAAACCCCCGTGACAGGCAATTTAGCTCTATAACAAACCTGCTCATATACCCCTGAACTTAATATAAAAGTTTTTAGGCCAGGTGCGGGGCTCACGCCTGTAATCCCAGCACTCTGGGAGGCTGAGGTGGGCAGATCACCTGAGGTCAGAAGTTTGAGACCAGCCTGGCCAACATGGTGAAATCCCCATCTCTACTAAAAATACAAAAAATTAGCCAGGCATGGTGGTGCATGCCTGTAGTCCCAGCTACTCCTGAGGCTGAGGCAGGAGAAACACTTGAACCCGGGAGGTGGAGGTTGCAGTGAGCTGAGATCTCACTCCAGCCTGGGTGACAGAGTGAGACTCCGTCTCAAAATAAATAAATAAAATCGGTGAGAAGCTCACTTCCTAAACCACAAACCCTCCTCAAATAATCAGAATTGTCTACTCTCATCTACCCTGCACCCCGTACTCTCCCTCTCTCCACAGTGGCTGAAAGAATGATGGGGAAGAGAGGAAGAAGAAATTGCCTTAGGCCTTCTCCCTCTTCTAGGGTCTCTGTCTTTCCACTATTTTCTTTTAAAAACTTTTTGCTTTTTTTTTTTTTTTTTTTTTTTGAGACACAGTCTCACTCTGTCACCCAGCCTGGAGTGCAGTGGCATGATCTCGACTCACTGCAACCTTCCCCTCCCAGGTTCAAGCCATTCCCTTTCCTCAGCCTCCCGAGTAGCTGGGACTACGGGTGCGTGCCACCATGCCCGGCTAATTTTCGTATTTTTAGTAGAGATGGAGTTTCACCATGTTGGCCAGGCTTGTCTTAAACTACTGACCTCAAGTGATCCACCCACCTCAGCCTCCCAAAGTGCTGGGATTACAGGCGTGAGCCACCATGCCCGGCCAAAAACCTTTTACATGAGCAGGTTTGTTATAGAAGTAAATTGCCTGTCATGGGGATTTGGTGTACAGATTAGTTAATCCCCCATGTAATTCTTTCCACCATTTATTTACCTTTCTCCACAGCAGCCTATTCCCTTTGAGGGAAGAGAGAGACCCTTTCGTATTGTTTTATATTGCTTTATACTCAGTACCTGTTTTAAGAAAAAACAAGGAAGTAAAACCAAAGACAGGCAGCCTGGCGCCAGGCCCGAAACCAGGCCTGGGCCTGCCTGGCCTAAACCCAGTAGTTAAAAATCAACCCATGACTTAGAACGCGATGTTATTCATAGATTCCAGACATTGTATAGAAGAACATTGTGACACTCCCTGCCCTGTTCTGTTTCTCTCTGACCACCAGTGCATGCAGCCCCTGTCACGTACCGCCTGCGTACTCAAATCAATCACGACACTTTCATGTGAAATCTTTAGTGTTGTGAGACCTTAAAAGGGACAGAAATTGTGCATTCAGGGAGTTTGGATTTTAAGGCAGTAGCTTGCCGATGCTCGCAGCTGAATAAAGCCCTTCCTTCTACAACTCGGTGTCTGAAAGGTTTTGTCTGGGGCTCGTCCTGCTACATTTCTTGGTTCCCTGAACAGGAAGCGAGGTAACTGACGGACGGCCAAGGCAGCCCCTTGGGTGGCTTAGGCCTGCCCTGTGGAGCATCCCTGCGGTGGACTCTGGCCAGCCTGAGTGACGCGATCCAAAGAGCGCTCCCGGGTAGGAAATTCCCCGGGTGGAACGCCTCGCCAGAGCAGCACGTAGCAGGCCCCCGAGGAGGATTAACACACTGGCTGAACACTGGGAAGGAACTGGCACTTGGAGTCCGGACATCTGAAACTTGGTAAGACTAGTCTTTGGAACTTGCCCCACTCCATCTGAGTGGAAGCATGGCCTGATCACCCATGGTGTGCCTGTACTGGCACTTTTATTCTGGTTTTGACTTGACTTAGATTGTGTGATACTTTGGTTTTGGTTTTGGTTTTGACCTGGCTTGGGTTTTTGGATACTCTGATTTTGGTTTGGTGTAAACTGCAAAAGTGTGTGTGCCCTTTTTACCTGTTTTTTTGTTTTGTAGTGCACGTGTGGTGTGAGCGTGGTGTTTTGTCTCGAAGAAGCATGGGTCAGGCACAAATAAGCCCACCCCACTAGGAACTATGTTAAAAAAAATTTTTTTTCAAGAAAGAATTTAAGGGAGATTACGATGTTACTGTGACACCAGGAAAACTTAGAACTTGTGAAATAGACTGGCCAGCATTAGAGGTGGGTTGGCCATCAGAAGGAAGCCTGGACAGGTCCCTTGTTTCAAAGGTATGACACAAAGTAACCTGTAAGCCAAGGCATCCAGACCAGTTTCTGTACATAGACAGTTACAGCTGGTTTTAGACCCCCTTCCCCCTACAGTAGTTAAGAGAACAGTAGCATAAGCATCTGGCAGAGGCAAGGAAAGACCAGCAGAGAGAAAAAAAGGCCATCTATACCAATTCTAAGTTAATTTAGACTAAACAAGGTCTTATTAATAGCAAAGGATAATTGAAATCCCAAACTTACAAGGTTTTCAACAAAAGTGAAGTTTGCTAAAAATTAACAGTATAACATGTATTATGGTAACTTCTAATCTTGTGGCCTTAGACAGTCTAGTCCAAAGACAAAAAAAAAGTTCACTTTAAAAAAAAAAAGCGGGGGAGGCAGAATTTATGTAAAAAGAGTGTTATATGGTAAATTCTTGTCCTGAAATAAATTAACTGGTTGTTTAAAGAAAAAAAAATGTTTGTAATAAGTCAGAAAGTTGAGACATGTTGAAGAATTGTCGGCGAAAGTCGTGAAAGAAAAAATGTTATAAAAAAATTTATGCAAAAAATATTGTGTAATTTAAAAGTAATAAGGCCTCCTGAGTACTATTTAAAAAAAAAACAGTTTATGTGCAAGGTGTATAAGAAAAGTAAAATATACCTTTGGTAAAAAGATTATAAGGAGGCATAAGAATGTGGATTTTTACCTACATTAAAAGGTTAAAAAAATTATTGTTTTGAAAGTGTAAGCAAATTTTAAAATGTTAATTGTAAAGAAAATTCTGTGTGTAAACATATTAGCTAAAGTTAAAAAGGTATCATCCAGTTTTTCTGTGAACTGGACATTAAAGTAAAAATGTGACAGGTTTTTCTTAAAGCATCAACCTGCTCTTTAACAAAAATTATAAAAGGTTAAAAAGAGTCTATAAAACCTTACCTTATGGTCAAACATGAAAAATTGGATAAATATGTCTACAAAGTTTTATTAAAATTAAGTTTAACATTAATAACACACTAATATAAAGGTAAAATTTAGCTTACCTGGTATAAAAATCATACAAGAAGCATTATTAAATATAAAATGGTGTTTAGCTTTCTTTGGTCTAAAAACTAATAAAAATAGATGCTAAAGGAAACATTCATTTTACTAGAGGATCATAGAAGTTAAAGACTTAAAACAAACTTTGGCAGTTAAGACAGCATACCAAGATGCAAATGCCTGGTTGGAATGGATCAAATATTCCATCTGCACGTTAAACAAAATCAATTGTTATGCTTGTGCACATGGCAGGCCAGAGGCCCTGATTGTCCCTCTTCCACTAAGGTGGTCCTCCAGTCGACCAGGTGTGGGCTGCATGGTAGCTCTTTTCCAGGATTCTACAGCCTGGAGTAATAAGTCATGCCAAGCTCTCTCTGCTATATCCCGAAGTCTCTGCGGGTCAGCCCCCGAGGGCCATCCAGCTTCCATCTCCCAACACTAAGTTCACTTCTTGTCTCTCACGGCAGGGAGGAGATTTAGCATTCCTTGGAGACCTGAAGGGATGCAGTGAGCTTAAGAGTTTCCAAGAGCTTATCAATCAGTCAGCCCTTGTTCATCCCCGAGAGGATGTGTGGTGGTATCGGGGTGGACCTTTACTGGGCACTCTGCTGAATAACTAGAGTGGCACTTGTGCTTTAGTCCATTTGGCTATCCCTTTCACCCTGGCATTTCATCAACCAGAGGAAAAAAAAAGTAAGACATCATAAAACGAGAGAAGCCCCTTATAGGTCTTTCAATTCTCACATCTACTTAAATGCAATTGGAGCCCCACAAGGAATACCAGATCAATTTAAAGCTTGAAATCAAATAGTTACAGGATTTAAGTCAATATTTTAGTAGATGACAGTCAACAAAAATGTAGATTAGATAAACTACATCTATTACAACCAACAGCAAAGAGCTTTTCATTAGTTAAAAAGAAAAACTCATGTCGGCCCCAGCCCTGAGGCTACCTGACCTGACAAAACTCTTTACACTCTGTGTGTCAGAAAGAGAAAAAATGACAGTTGGAGTTTTAACCCAGACTGTAGGGCCCTGGTCAAGGCCAGGGGCCTATCTCTCAAAACAACTAGATGGGGTTTCCAAAGGCTGGCCCCCATGTCCAAGGGCCCTGGCAGCAACTGCCCTGTTAGCACAAGAAGCAGATGAGCTAACTCTTAGGCAAAACCTAAACAGAAAGTCTCCCCATGCTGTGGTGACTTTAATAAATACCAAAGGACATCATTAGCTAATAAATGCTAGACTAACTAGATACCAAACCTTGCTCTGTGAAAATCCCCACATAACCATTGAAGTTTCCAACACCCTAACCCAGCCACCTTACTCCTGGTAACAGAGAGCCCAGTTAAACATAACTGTTTAGAGGTGCTGGACTCAGTTTATTCTAGTAGGCCTAACCTCCGAGACCTCCCTTAAACATCAGTAGACTGGGAGCTGTACGTGGATGGGGGCGGCTTTGCCAACCCCTGCAAAGTGACACTCTGAAGAAGGAGACAAGCCCTGCTCCAGTCACACCCAGAAGCTGACTGGTCCACGCACAGGCGAAGCATGAGGAAACTCATTGCGGGACTCATTTTCCTTAAAATTTGGACTTGTACAGTAAGGACTTCAACTGACCTTCCTCAGATTGAGAACTGTTTCCAGTATATACATCAAGTCACTGAGGTAGGACAAAAATTGCTACAGTCCTATTATTTTATGGTTATTATAAGTGTACCAGGACTCTAAAAGAAACTTGTT
This sequence comes from Homo sapiens, assembly GCF_000001405.40. NCBI lineage: Eukaryota > Metazoa > Chordata > Mammalia > Primates > Hominidae > Homo > Homo sapiens. The sequence continues at coordinate 2,493,328 of NT_167246.2, read as the reverse complement.
TGTATAATGCTATCCAAGGTATGTAGCCCAGGGAATAACCAACCTGATGTGTGTTATGACCCATTTTAAGCCTCCCGTGATCACAGTTTTTAAAATAAAATTAAGGACTGGTCCTTTTCTAGGTGACACAAGTAAGGTAATAGCTAGAACGGAAAAAAGAGGGGCCCCCAAAAATGTAACCTTAAAATTTGGTGCTTGTGCCGCTATTGATAGTAAGCAGCATGGAATAGGATGTGGTTCTCTAAATTGGAAAAAAAAAGTGACACAGTAAAAAAAAAATAAGTGTATCTGTCAAGAATTGTATTTATGTGAGATGTGTCAATACTGGTCTTGTGTCATTTGGGCTACTTAAAAAGAAGATAAAAAAGATCCTGTTTGGCGGCTTAGTTGTCTTGGGCAAAAACTGTATAATGGTACCACAAAAAGTTACATGGTGGAGTTCCAATTACACAGAAAGAAATCCATTCAGTAAATTTCCAAAGTTGCAGACTGTTTGGGCCCACCCAGAACTCCACCGGGACTGGACAGCCCCCACCGGGTTATACGCAGAGCTTATGCTAAGCTCCCTGATCAGTGGACAGGTAGCTGTGTAATTGGCACCATTAAGCCATCTTTCTTCTTACTGCCCATAAAAACAGGTAAACTTCTGGGCTTCCCAGTCTATGCTTCCTGCGAAAAACGAAGCATAGCCATAGGTAATTGGAAAGATGATAAATGACCTCCTAAAAAAATTATATAATACTATAGGCCTGCCACTTAGACACAAGATGGCTCATGAGGATATCGAACCCCCATCTACATGCTCAACCGAATCATATGGTTGCAAGCTGTTTAGAAATTATTACTAATAAAACCGTCAAACCTTGACTGTTCTTGCCCGGCAAGAGACTCTGATGAGAAATGCTATCTATCAAAATAGACTAGCTCTTGACTACTTGCTATATATATATATATATATGTATACACACACCCCATCTCTACTAAAAATACAAAAAATTAGTGGGGTATGGTGGCAGGCACCTGTAATCCCAGCTACTAGGGAGGCTGAGTCAGGAGAATCGCTTGAACCTGGGAGGCGGAGGTTGTAGTGAGCCGAGATCGCGCCATTGCACTCCAGCCTGTGCAACAAGAGTGAAACTCCATATCAAAAAATATAAATAAATAAATAAATAATAAATTAAATAAATAAAATGGGCAGGAAGAGGTCTGAACATAAAAACACTCGACTGCACAGCGACCAAGGAGAGACAACTTAAACCTCAAATTCTCTCTCTTTTTTTGAGACGGAGTCTCACTCTGTCGCCCAGGCTGGAGTGCAGTGGCGCTAGCTATATCGGCTCACTGCAACCTCCGCCTCCCGGATTCAAGCGATTCTCCTTCCTCAGTCTCCCGAGAAGCTGGGTTTACAAGTGCGCGCCAGGGTTTCGCTATGTTGGCCAGGCTGGTCTCCAACTCCTGACCTCAGGTGATCCGCCCGCTTCGGCCCCCAACAAAGTGCTGGGATTATGCTGGGATTACAGGCGTGAGCCACCGCGCCGGGTCTCAAACCCCAAATTATTTTTTTGGGGGGACGGAGTCTTGCTCTGTCGCCCAGGCTGGAGTGCAGTGGCGCGATCTCTGCTCACTGCAAGCTCTGCCTCCAGCGTTCACGCCATTCTCCTGCCTCAGCCTCCCGAGTAGCTGGGACTACAGGTGCCCGCCACCACACCCGGCTAATTTTTTTGTATTTTTTTAGTAGAGACGGGGTTTCATAGTGTTAGCCAGGATGGTCTCGATCTCCTGACCTTGTGATCCGCCCGCCTCGGCCCCCCAAAGTGCTGGGATTACAGGCGTGAGCCACCGCACCCGGCCTCAAACCCCAAATTCCTAAGTATGGATGAGCCAAATCACCCCTCCCACTGCTGAGGAGAGACGCTTGTCTCGGACTGGACTTAACCCAATGGGGTTCAAGAAAAAGGGAAAGTCCCGCCTCCATAGCAGCTCCAGTCCAATGGGAGCCTCCCGGTACGCTCAGCTGGAAGATGGGCGGGACTACGCTGGCCTGGAGCATGGCACGTGATTCCGCCGGCCTGGTTGCCGGGAATCTGGACCTGAGCGAGAAGCACGATCCCCGGCCGCCCCCGCTCTTGCATCCCCCTGGTCCTACTGCTGTGCTTGCTGGCGACGGTTCGTTCCGGAAGTCAGGCCAGTGACTGCGGGGCTCTGCTCCGCCCTCCATACCTGTTAAGTGTCCCCCTCCCCCACAACGCCTGATCCCCACAGCCTGGCAGCGAGAGTCCAGCCCTCCGGGGAGGTTGAGGCCCGGTGCCACCACCACCACTGGAGGCCTGACGATGCCTGACGATGCCTCACGCGGGTGCTGAGTAGTAGGGGGGCTTAATTATTTAGCACCTCTCCCCTTCCCCTGAGCCATAACCTTCCCCAAACTGTGGCCTTTATGAGGCCTCTTGGGAGTGCTTTTTGGAGCCGGGGGAGGTCTGGGGCGATGGAGGTTGCAAGATAAGGTCAGGCTTAGAGGGTAGGTAGGGCTTCCTCTGAAACTGGTTGTATCTGGTAAGTAATTGTCCCATGTCTCCCACTTGAAGCTTAAACTTGGCCGTAGGAGGTCCTTATGCCTGTAATCCCAGGACTTTGGGAGGCCGAGCTGGGCGGAGGATTGCTTGAACACAGGAGTTTGAGACCAGCCCGGGGAACATGAGGAAAACCTGTCAATACAGAAAATACAAAAACATTAGCCAGGCGTGGTGGTGCACGCCTGTAGTCCCAGTTACTCTGGAGGCTGAGGTGGGAGGATCGCTTGAGCCTGGGAGGCAGAGGTTGGGGTGGGCCTCATGATTGTGCCACTGCACTTCAACGTGGGTGACAGAGTGAGACCGTCTCGAAAAAAAAGAGAAAAGGAGCCAATGATAGCAGCTATGTTTGTTAAAAAATATATATATATACATATATACACATATATATACGTATATGTGTGTGTGTGTATATATATATTTGGAGACGGAGAATCACTCAGTCGCCCAGGCTGGAGTGCAGTGGTGCAATCTCGGCTCACTACAACCTCCGCCTCCTGGGTTCTAGGGATTCTCCTGTCTCAGCCTCCCGAGTAGCTGGGATTACAGGCGTGCACCACCAGGCCCAGCTAATTTTTGTATTTTTTTAGTAGAGATGGGGTTTCGCCTCATCGTGGTTTTTAACCCAGCCTTAAAAATATATTTAAACATAACTACCAGGTGTGTTTTTTGGCATGACCTCTAATCCTCTGAGATTGGTGTAATTTTCTCATATATGAAGAATGTGGCTCATATTCTTGTCCACAAGAGATGGCCCCAAGAGGGATGCACAGCCATAGACAAGTGGTAGGGTGAGTGTCACCTCTGAGTGAAAGTCAGAGCCGTCTCTGAAATAAAGGGGTACAGCAGCGTGGTAGATGGTTTGAGGCCAGGGTAAGGGTTTAATGAAAGGGTTTAAGTGGTTTAAGTGGTGTTTGGAGAAGGGAAGGATGGGTCTTCCCTTCAGGGGACCATCTCAGGAAGGCACTGGGAGGTGGAACTGCAGGAGTATGGAGGTGCTCCAACCTTCCTGTTCCAAGTGGGTCAGGTGAAGGCAGGGTGTGGTGGGAGATGAGGGTGGAGACGGCAGCCTTCAAGGGGCCTTGTTTAGCTTGCTAAGGAGCTTGGAAACCATCCCGAGGACAAAAGGGGAATCCTTAGAGGAAGAGCAGAGAGGTATGCGGTCTGATATGTATTTCTGGATAGATCACTCTGATTATATCAAGGAGGACAGATTTTATATGCTTAAGACTGGAGGGAGAGAGACCAGTTAGAAAGACTCTGGCTATAATCCAAGCAAGCCATACTATGGGCTGGTTTGGTGGAGGTAGAGGAATGTCCAGATTGGAGAAACAGGAAGTTAAAAATGGGCAGGGCTTGCTGACTGTTTGAAACTAGGGGGTGTGAAGGGAGGCAGCACTCTAGGATAAACACCAGACTTGCAGATTGTTTGGGAATATCCAATTCTGCTGTAGAAGACAGGAAAACAATAAACTCAAAAGAAGTGTTACACACAGATAACTAAATTAGTCATCTGTAGATAGTACAACGTATTCGTGTGTACAGAGATCAAAAGGGACAGAAAGACCAAGGAGGCACTAAATATTCACGGTACCCTAAATACATGAGACATGAGGCACTCAGGATGCAGGAGGTTTCAATTTGACAGGATGGATGCACACTGCATGACCCACAGTTCAGCTGGTGTGATCGATCATTCCACCCAACTTGCCCCCTCTCCCGTGTGTTGACCCACCCCAGCACCTGCCTCCTGCTTCTCAGAATGTGTTTTACATTTATTTAATAAACGATGTTATTTGAGCATTTACATTTGGTCTGTGAGCCTTTTTGTTCCATGACCTCTCAGCTCACTTCATGCTATTGTGCCAGGAGGCTACATGACATCCGGTAGTTGCCCACACCTCAACCCAGTTCTGGCTTGAGTAAGCAGGCAGGTGAGAGGATGATGCCACTCACCAGGAATATAGGATGAGAGGCAGGTTGTTCCATGGCCAGGGCCAAGAGGAAATACTCAGTTTTAGATGTGTCAGATTTAAGGCCATATGGAACCTTAGGTCCAGATGACCAACAGGTAGGTAGTTGGATATACCAATGTGAAGAACAGGGATGAAGAGATTTGGGAGTCATTACTATTTAAAACAATGAGCCTAGATGAGGCCCTGCAGGGAAACGAGAGATTCCCTTCCCATTGTTCAGTCTGCATTCCCCTTACCCACTCCTTTGGTGCCCTCAAAAATAGTCACACAGCCTCACCATACAGGCACCTTGTGCAGTGTCTCCCAGGTAAGACTCCTGTTGGAAAATAACCTTTTCCCATCATTCTCTTTTCCTCAGCAACCCACTCTCTGTGCTATGACTTCATTACTCTTTCCCAGCCCAGCCCTGGGCAAGCCCCTTACGAAGTCTCAGGCTACCTGGATGACCACCCTTTCTTATGATGCTGCAAGGAGGGCAGGTGGGCAGAGCCCCGTGCATCCTGGGCTCAGGCCAGGGACCCAAGAGCTTGGGAGAAGCTGGTTCTCAGACTGAAGGCCAGAGCCCAGCACCTTGTCACCATCCTGGGGAGCATCATGGCACACGACAACCAGAGCCAACGTAATTGGGCTTGGGGGCTCAGGAGGAGGCAGAAAAGAGAGAAGAGCTCAATATGGGCCTGAAGATGTGCAGCTGCATTCGTTATTGTTCAGCTAAGATGCATTGAGCTCTGCGTGGGGCACTGTGCTAGGTAGGCACTCAGATACCACCCCACTTCACTGAGATCCTGATGCTATCTCCTCCTGCCTGGGGGAGTTCATCCCTGACTCAAACCTTGTTTTATGTACCCAGTGGTGCCAAAAGGACTGGGTCTTAGGTATTAGCAAGAGTAGGACAGAAGTATAAGACCCTCTGGCCGGGCGCAGTGGCTCACGCCTGTAATCCCAGCAGTTTGGGAGGCCGAGGCGGGTGGATCACAAGGTCAGGAGATCGAGACCATCCTAGCTAACACAGTGAAACCCTGTCTCTACTAAAAATACAAAAAAAATTAGCCGGGTGCGCTGGCAGGCACCTGTAGTCCCAGCTACTCGGGAGGCTGAGGCAGGAGAATGGCATGAACCCGGGAGGCGGAGCTTGCAGTGAGCCGAGATCGTGCCACTGCACTCCAGCCTGGGTGACAGAGCAAGACTCCGTCTCAATAAAAAAAAAAAAAAAAAAAAGAAGTATAAGACCCTCACCCTTTCCCTCAGTCAAGGACTAGGTCTCTAAGAAATAAGCCATTGTCCTTAAGCTCCCAAGCCTTCCCTTCAGGTGAAAAAAGTCTGTTTTTTTTTTGCTCTTGTTGCCCAGGCTGGAGTGCAATGGCACGATCTCAGCCCACTGCAAACTCCGCCTCCCAGGTTCAAGTGATTCCCCTGCCTCAGCCTCCTGAGTAGCTGGGATTACAGGCGCCTGCCACCACGCCTGGCTAATTTTTATATTTTTAGTAGAGATGGGGTTTCACCATGTTGGCCAGGCTGGTCTCAAACTCCTGACCTCGTGATCCACCTGCCTGGGCCTCCCAAAGTGCTAGGATTACAGGCGTGAGCCACCGCACCCGGCCAGGTGAAAAAAACTTATCCAACTTTCTCAAATCCAGGAAATGGGAAAAACTGGCCTTTTTCTGACATTCACCTCTCGCCACCACCAGTAGTTAATAAGAAACCTGGTGACCTGAGCAAAATATATTTCTAACCAATATCATTTTTTTTCATCTAGCAAACATTTAAGCCTAGTAAGTGCTGTTCATTTTGCTGTTACCAATAATACACCTTACAATAGCAGCTACTAGTTCTTGAATTCTTCTTGGTAGGTCCTACATTAACACTGGCAAGGATTATCTCATGTTATCTTTACTTGTGTGGTAGAGACTATAATTGTGTCCAGTTGCCAAATGAGGAAAGCAAGGCTTGGAGAGGTTCCATTACATTTGCCGTGGGCATATAGCCAGTAGCTGATGTGTAGATCAGGGATTTAAACACAATGCTGTCTGTGCTGGGCCTTCAGGAGGGTGGGTGAGTATATGTGGCTGAACAGTGCATGCTGGGTACATGGGAGGGAGCCACATGCTGCAGGGGAGGGAGAGCGGGTGCAGTGTGACTTTGGTGGGGATGTGGTTGACAGAGAAGATATGTCTTGGAGAATGAGTGAGGGTTTATCAGTCAGAGCAAGGGAATTTCATGCATTTTGGGAGGAGGTAGGAGCGGAGGTGGAGAGAGCCACTGTTTTGACCTCTTGTAACTTTGGAGTTCTGGGGTTTTGGCTTTTCAGAGTCACACACCCTCCAGACCACGGTTGTCTGTGAGTTGTTGGGGAACCGGAGCAGCTGGGGACACTGGCACTACAACTGTGATGGCCAGGACTCCCTTCTTAGCACACTTGAGTCTTTCAACTCCAGCAAAAGCCAGCCAGAACCAAGCAGAGCTGCAGAAGGAGAGAAGGGAAGGAAACAATCCTTCCTGACCTAGAGCTGCGTCTACCCTCTCCGGAAATACCTGAAAGCTGGGGTGGGACCACGGCCCACCGTAGGTGTGATAGGTGCGGACTGGTTCATGTGGGGAAGGTGGAGGAGCTGAGGGCACTGTGGGAGGGATGGAGTGCAGGCCCCTCAGCCAGCCTTCAAAACTCCATTTCAATACCCATGTCCTAAATGAACACAGCTCTGTTGCTGACCGTCCTAGCCACTCTGCTTTCCTTCCCTCTCCCGTGCTTGGTCAGCCCTTTTCCCACTTGGTGTTCAAGTTCTGACCCAGGGCTGAGCACCCAAGGGCTCTCAAGGTGGGGCATCACCTACAGTCACCATGGAACACAGTGGAATGGTGCCTAAAGCCCTGGTGTGGAGGATGTACGGCAGCTTGATAGGACCAGAGGCAGCCAGTTTGTCTGGGAGGTCTTTGCCACCACTTTTCCCTGTCCCGCTAGCCCCTTGGTGCATGGGACTCTCTGCAAAGCCCCTGGAGAGGAGCCATCCCAACATGCTAGGCCCTTGACTTCTATCCTCCAGTGTCCAGCTAACTTAGCTGAGGGATGGGCTGCCCCAGCCCCTGAGTCCCTGGAACCCTAAGCCACTTGCCCCCTTGCATGGCGCTGCTCAGATGCCCAGAGCCAGCAGTCTGCTGTGATCCCTTTGACGTGAGCATAGGCTCTCCTGTCTGGTGATGCACCAGGCTGATGCTGAGTCTCTGTGCAACCTCAGATGAGCAGCTGGGGTTTGGAGGCATGTAGCAATGCAGTTGCCGAGTGCAGTGGCTCGATCTCAGCTCACTGCACCCTCTGCTGCCTGAGTTCAAGCGATTTTTGTTTCTCAGCCTCCTGAGTAGCTGGGATTACAGGCATGCACCACCACATGCAAAAAAAACAAAACAAACAAACAAAAAAACCACCTTTTGGTATTTTTAGTAGAGACAGGGTTTCACCATGTTGGCCAGGCTGGTCTCGAACTGCTGATCTGAAGTGATCCGCCCGCCTCAGCCTCCTAAAGTGCTGGGATTATAGGCATGAGCCACCGCTCCCGGCCTCCTCCTATATCTCTTGATCAAACTTCAGGGGAAAACCTGCCAGATTCCCCAGGAAGGATGCTTGGAGGTAGGTGGCAGGGTACAGGGAGGCCTATGCCAACTTCTCATTGAACACCACTCCCAGCTTTCCTACCCCCATTTCTCTTCACAGGTGTGCAGAGAAGTCTACATTCCCATGTCAAGTAAGTGGGGTGGGTAGATGGGAGGGCATATGAGAGCGGGGTAGCAATTTTATGTCTTAGTTGGAAGGAAGTTTAGAGTTCATTGAGTCCAAATCCTCTTTACTAGGTGAGGAAACTGAGGCACAGGAGGGGGAGGTGCCATTAGCCAGGGAGTCAGAGCCAGGACTTAGAACCTGGTCCATGCCTCCTAGTTTGTTCCTGACCAATCCTCCCAGCTCACCCACTCCTTTTGCTCTCACCTCTGACTCCCTACAGGCTACAGCTAGAGAGTTGACTCCTCTATTTGAGGTAAGAGTGTCTGGATTTGGGATAAGGTGACCTCAGTTTGCAGGTCTCATGGGGGAGATCAGAGGGTCCTTTGTTGAGAAGAGGGGACTTGGTCCACAGTGAGCAAAGGAATTTGTCTAAATTGCTATTAAGGGAGATCATCTCCCAAGGTGGGCCAAGCCTGAACCCTCAGCCCTCCATTTCTTCCCTTTCTTTTGCCTTCAGATTGACAGGCCTCGGAAGTCAAAATAAGTGGTTTCCTAGACCGGGTCGAGAGCAAGTCTCTATTGGTCCCAACTGAGTTTTTTCAGCTGGTTTTTCAACCAAACAGCACCTCATCTCCCAGTGAGGGGAAGGGAAGGCTGGGCTGAGAGCAGCAAGGCTGCTCATCTCACCTCTCCCCACCCAGCCATGCCAGCCGCCACACCTGGTGGGGAGAGGTGGGCCTCACCTGGGTCCCCTGGCAGTGCTCTGTGAAGGGTCTTGACATTGCACTGTAATAATAAAGGTGTGTGTGAAGTATCTTTTTATGGTGACTTTCTAAAACCCAGGGAATCATGGGACCAGTTCTGATGACTCAGCCTGGCTTCCAGTCTCCTCCAGGCCCAACGGTGGCCCCCAGCACTGGTTGGGGCCTGGGAGAGCTGGCCTTGGCTGAAGTGAAGCCACCTACCCTTCAGGCATAACAGGACAGTGAGAAGGAAGGAAAGCCTGCCTCAACCTCCCATCAGCCCTGAGCACCCCAGAAGGGGGCCGGCTAGGAGTCTAGGCATGCAGGAGGCTGACCCCTGACTGGGCTCATATCCAGCCACAAGGCAGCCAGGGACCCAGGCACCCACCCCTTGTCTGCGTCCCTCTCGGGAATGGGCCTCTTGCCCAGGCCAGAAATACACCACCTACAGTACAAATTATAATCTAAAAACAAGAGGGTGGTGTTGAGTGGGGAAATTGGGGAAGGTGTTTTAGGAGCCACTAGGAAAATGGGCAGCAGGGACTCTCTGGACTGGCTTGGGAAGAGCGCTTTTGGGGAACCTGGAGGATGGCAAGCTGAGAAACACTGGTGTGGAGATTCCAGCCAAATCCCAGGCCTGCCCCTCCCCCTCCTCTGAGAGGCCGTCTTCTTGGCAGACAGCAGAGAGATGCATGACAAAGGTGCCGTGATGGTTCTGTCCTGGGGATTGAGATGGCTGGGGAGGGGCCTCCTCCTGTTCCGAAGCATGTTCCTCCCACCCCCACCAGGCCCCATAATCTACCTGCCTTTTGGGCAGTTAAAGGCCGAGAAGTGAACACAGCTGCAACCCCACTGCCTTGTAGACCTTCCGGCAGACCTGTGGCAGGTATTGAAATGCACGCATACAATTAGGCTCAAAAAGTCTACACAGACAGGAGATGGGCACACGAACAGAGGCAACATAAGAGTGGGGGAAAAGTCTCAAAAGACTCACGGATGCCACCAAGATGAAGACAGCTGGCCACGGGACACCCATCCCCTTAGAAGGCAGACAGAGCCACTGACCCCAGCAGACAAGCCCAGGCAGGGCTGAGCCTGGAGCCTGCAATGAGAAGCCTTACTTAAGTCGACAGAGGTCAGCGTGCCCAGTCCAGACCTGGCCTTCTGGCCTTCGAAGCTGTGGGGAGCCCTGGCCCAGAGCCCCCTCTGGAGCCCCCAGACTTACCCCAGGCCCTCCACTGAGATCAAGTTTTGGGAGCAGACAGACAAACATCATCCCTCACAGACAGGCATTCCGTTGGCTATTCTCTTGCAAACAGAATCAAGCACTAGACCAGCAGCATGAGCCTCAGGATACTCAGGCCAGGCCCAGAAAAACAGACCCTGAAGGGGAGCTTAGGGCAGCCTTCCTGCACCCCTCCACAAATCACTCGCCACCTCCTCTGCGTCTTTCTGCCAGCCAGCCCCACTAAACAAAGCACATCCCTCAATCTTCCGGGCTCGGGGAGGGATGCACGATGAAGCTGGACGCCTGAGTCCCCCAGAGGAAGGAGGAACTAGATACCTAGGTCCCTGTAGGGGGCCCTTGGTGCCCGTCTGAGGCTCAGTCTTTGAGGGGATTGGCAGAGGGGGGTTGCTGGAGCTCCTTTTAGCGTCTCTGAAGGGGATTCTGTGTGAGGGGATTGGGACTGGGGGGTTGGGGAGCAGGAAGCAGTCCCCAGGGGAGCCATCCAGGCCCATTCAAGGGTTGAGCACTTGTTTAGGGTTAGAGCTGCCCCCTCTGGGGACCGGGATTGTCCAGCCAAGGCCATTGTCCTGCCCCCTTCCCCCAGTCCCTCCCAGGCTTCTTTGAACCTGAAGTCAGATATTTTTTCTCCACACCCCCCACCCCCTGGTTTTCCCCACCCAGGGCCTAGGGCTGGAGGCCTGGGCCAGGGAGGTGGGGGAGGGAGAACGGGGCCTACCGTGGTATTAGATGTCTGAGTTTTGGTTGAGAGGGGAGCAAGGAACCTGATGTGCAGGTTCCATAGTGGAGGGGGCCCAAAGCGGGTGTCTTATCACTCTGTTTCAGCAAAGGTTGGGAAACTGAGGCCCAATCAGTCCAAAGTCTGGTCCCTTGAAGGGGAAGTAGGGGCCAACCCCTTAGTCTGTTAGATGAGGAGAGTCTGGAGTCTGATTCTGGAAGACGGAGGGGTGGGGGGATGGGGGGTGGGGGGATATAGCACGGAGGCCTTGTCTGGCAGTCTACTCTTGAAGATGGGGTGAAATTTGGCAGGCTGGGCAGATGGTGCCAGGCACCCAGGCTGCGGGGTGGCTGGATTTGGCCAGTATCGGGATGGGAATGCCTAGGATTCTGGATGGATCGGGGGAAGGCATAAGGGAGCAGCTGGCCATTGTGCTTATGGCTGTTGATGCATTGAGGGATAGCGCCACACACACATTCAATAAATTTGAGGAGCTGAGAGGGTGACTGGCCCCTGAAGGCACAGTGCCAGAGGTCTGTGGAGAGGGGGTCAAGCACCTGGGTTCCTGAAGAACATGGAGGTGTGGGAGTGATTCCAGACAGCTGGGATGTGCAGAGCCTGAGAGAGTGCCAGGGAGCGGGTTGGGAGTTGAAAGTTGGGTGTGGTGGCTCACGCCTTTAATCATGACACTGGGCGGCAGAGGCGGGAGGATTTCTTGAGGACAGGAATTCAAGACCAGCCTGGGTAACATAGCAAGGCCCCATCTCTACTAAAAATAAAAAAACTAACAGGGCACAGTGGTCCAAGCCTGTAGTCCCAGCCACTTAGGAGGCTGGAGCAGAAGGATTGCTTTGGCCCAGTAGATCGAGGCTACATTGAGCCATCATTGTACTCCACTGCACTCCAGTCTGGGCAACAAAGTGAGACCCTGTCTTAAAAAATAAAAATAAAAAAAGTTTCTGTGGGGGACCTGCACTGAGGTCCTGGAGGGGCGCCAGTTGTGTCTCCCGGTTTTCCCCTTCCACAGACACCATTGCCACCACCATTAGGCAAACATCCTTCGCCTCAGTTTCTCCCCCCACCTCCCTCTCCTCCACCCATCCAGGGGGCGGGGCCAGAGGTCAAGGCTAGTGGGTGGGACTGGGGAGGGAGAGAGGGGTTGAGTAGTCCCTTCGCAAGCCCTCATTTCACCAGGCCCCCGGCTTGGGGCGCCTTCCTTCCCCATGGCGGGACACCTGGCTTCAGATTTTGCCTTCTCGCCCCCTCCAGGTGGTGGAGGTGATGGGCCAGGGGGGCCGGAGCCGGGCTGGGTTGATCCTCGGACCTGGCTAAGCTTCCAAGGCCCTCCTGGAGGGCCAGGAATCGGGCCGGGGGTTGGGCCAGGCTCTGAGGTGTGGGGGATTCCCCCATGCCCCCCGCCGTATGAGTTCTGTGGGGGGATGGCGTACTGTGGGCCCCAGGTTGGAGTGGGGCTAGTGCCCCAAGGCGGCTTGGAGACCTCTCAGCCTGAGGGCGAAGCAGGAGTCGGGGTGGAGAGCAACTCCGATGGGGCCTCCCCGGAGCCCTGCACCGTCACCCCTGGTGCCGTGAAGCTGGAGAAGGAGAAGCTGGAGCAAAACCCGGAGGAGGCAAGTGAGCTTCGACGGGGTTGGGGTGTGGGGAGGTGGTCATGACAGGGCAGCCTGATGGGGAAGTGGTCACCTGCAGCTGCCCAGACCTGGCACCCAGGAGAGGAGCAGGCAGGGTCAGCTGCCCTGGCCAGGGAGGGGTGTGTATCAACTGCAGGCAGCCCTGGCAGGCAGGGGCCAGGTGGGAACTGGAAGCTGGATTTCGAAGAGACAACTGCAGGTGAGGGCAGAGCGGCCTGGGAGAGTCGGAAGCTGGCCCAGGCTGGCCTTTGCTCTGTCTGGCCCAGCCCTTGTCAGGGTCTCTCACATCTCCTAGGCCTGCCCAGGGTCTGGTCACTCATTACTGGCCCAGCACCAGACCCAGCTTGGGGTTGGTTTGAGCCCCTTTTCCCACCCTTAGTCCTGCTTGAAAATTTGACCCTTATCAGACCCAAGATTTTGGCCTTAGGGTTAAGCATAGCCTGAGGGTAAAAACAGTGCTCATTCCAGGATTATTGTTCCTGAAAGTCTAGGGTGTGACTCGTTTCTGATAGGATCTCCTGTTTGGGCTGTGTGTGTGCGCGTTGTGAGCTGGGTTTACCTCCAGTCAAGTATAGGGCTTGTCTTCCCCGGATCTCTGCCTCAGGCCAATGACTGGCCACTGTGTTAAGGTGCACACCCTGGCACCCCTTGTAGAAAGCTGGATTTTGATTGACTTCAGCCTCAGTTCCAAAGTTGTAAACAAGAAAAATGGTGAGAGATTTCTCCAGGCCATTTGCAAATATAGAGCTGCTGCGGGATTGAAGGCATCCAGCCCTGCTGAGGACTATTAAAGATGTATCTTCCAGTCCTCCAAGGCGACAAGTGTAAGCAATTAGAGATTAAATACTAAGCCTTGAGACCTCACAGAAAGGTGTGACTGGTTTCTGGAGTGACCGAGAAGCCCCAACCTCTTCGCAGGAGGTCACTGCTGAGCCTTGAATGATAATGGCTGGCAATTGTGGTCCACTTCCTAAGTGCCTGGCTGTGTGCTCCGTTTATACATCATTATCTCATTAACCAGCACAAAATCTCCTAGGGGGAGGTATTATTATCCTATTTAACGGGTTTTAACTGCTAAATGATGAAGCGAGGATTTGGACCAGTGTTTATTCCAAAACCCCAAAACAGAATTTGGAAAATCCAGGATAGCAGAGGGCATTTATCAGTTTGAGTTATTGGCTGAGCAGAAGTTGGGGATGAAAACAGCCTATTTGAAATTGATATGATCAAGCACCATTGAAACACTTCCTTGAGGCTTCAGGACTACAAAAAGGCCTTGTTTTTTTCTCACTAGCTGTGCACCTCTGTCCGCCGGCAGCCTCATATGGCATGCCCCAGGGCTCAGTCCTTCAACCTCTGCTCTATCTACCCTTCCTTCCTCTCACCCACCCTCAAGGCTTAAATGCCATTTAGACACCAGATGACTACCGCGTTTTCTGTCTCTTGTGATGGCTCCCTGAACTGCTCCACCCTGATCACCCAGTTGCTCAAGGCCAAACCCAGTCATCCTCAGTTTCTTTCACGTCCTACATCCTATCCTTAAGAAACATCCTGAATCAATCACAACCTAACCCTGGCCTCAGCCACCATCATCTCTGCTGGGATTACCGCAGTAGCTTCTCAAATTATACTGCTTCCTCCCTACTGTCTGTGGCCAACACGTCAACTAGAGTCAGTGTTTTAAAAGGTGTGGCCAGGCACTTTGGGAGGCCGAGGCAGGCGAATCACCTGAGGTTGGGAGTTCGAGTCCAGCCTGACCAACATGGCGAAACCCCATCTCTACTAAAAATACAAAATTAGCTGGGCGTGGTGACGCATGCCTGTAATCTCAGCTACTCAGGAAGCTGAGGCAGGAGAATCGCTTGAACCTGGGAGATGTAGGTTGCGGTGAGCCGAGATCGCGCCAGTGCACTCCAGCCTAGGCAACAAAAGCGAAACTCTCAAAAAAAAAAAAAAAAAGGTGAGGCTAGGTGCGGTGGTTCACACCTGTAATCCCAGCACTTTGGGAAGCCAAGGTGGACAGATCACTTGAGGTCTCCTGACCAGCCTGGCCAACATGGTGAAACCCCATATCTACTAAAAATACAAAAATTAGCCGGGCATGGTGGTGGGTGCCTGTAGTCCCAGCTACTCAGGCGGCTGAGGCAGAATAGCTTGAACCCAGAAGGCGGAGATTGCAGTGAGCCAAGATCACGCCACAGCACTCCAGCCTGGGCGATAGAACGAGATTCCGTCTTGGGGGGGGAGAAAAAGGGTGAGAGATCATTTCACTTGGACTAAAACAAAGTCACTATGTCTGCAACAGGATCTACCTAGCCACCAGACCAGCTTTGGGCTCTGGAAGGCCCACTTCAGGGCCTTGCCACATTAGACTCTTGTCCTTTGCTCAAACAATCACCTTCTCTGTCTTTAAAAGTGTCACCCTCCTCCATAATCTCCTTCCCTCCTTTACCCTACTCCTATAGACTGCTTTATTTTTTTTTTAATTTTTGAGATGGAGTCTCACTCTGTCCCTCAGGCTGGAGTGCAGTGGTGCGATCTTGGCTCACTGCAAACTCCACCTCCTAGGTTCAAGCAATTCTCCTGCCCCAGCCTCCTGAGTAGCTGGGATTATAGGGGAGCGCCATGATGCCCAGCTAATTTTTGTATTTTTAGTAGAGACAGAGTCTCACTATGTTGACCAGGCTAGTCTTGAACTCCTGACCTCAAGTGATCTACCCACCTTGGCCTCCCAAAGTGAAGGGATTACAGGCATGACCACTGCGCCCGGACTGCTTTGCTTTTTTCCATAATATATATATATTTTTTAAATAGAGGCAGCAGGGGTGGGAGAAGGGGCGGCACGGGTCTCACTATGTTACCCAGGCTGCTTTCTAACTCTTGGGCTCAAGCAGTCTGCCCACCTTGGCCTCCCAAAGTGCTAGGATTTACAGACATGAGCCACTGTGCCTGGCCATTTTTTATTTTATTTACTTTTTTATTTTTCAGAGCAGGAGTGGAAGTTTATTATTAAAAAGTTATAGGGCAGGGAAAAAAGGAAAGTGCACTTGGAAGAGATCCAAGTGGGCAACTTGAAGAACAAGTGCCGAATAGCACTTCTGTCATGCTGGATGTCAGGGCTCTTTGTCCACTTTGTATAGCCGCTGGCTTATAGAAGGTGCTCGATAAATCTCTTGAATTTAAAAATCAATTAGGATGCCTCTATAGTGAAAAAGATACAGTAAAGATGAGGGATAATCAATTTAAAAAATGAGGAGTAAGTACACACAAAGCACTTTATCCATTCTTATGACACCTGTTACTTTTTTGCTGTGTTTGTGTGTATGCATGCCATGTTATAGTTTGTGGGACCCTCAAAGCAAGCTGGGGAGAGTATATACTGAATTTAGCTTCTGAGACATGATGCTCTTCCTTTTTAATTAACCCAGAACTTAGCAGCTTATCTATTTCTCTAATCTCAAAACATCCTTAAACTGGGGGTGATACTTGAGTGAGAGAATTTTGCAGGTATTAAATGAACTATCTTCTTTTTTTTTTTCTTTGAGACAGAGTCTTGCTCTGTCACCCAGGCTGGAGTGCAGTGGCGTGATCTCAGCTCACTGCAACCTCCGCCTCCCGGGTTCAAGTGATTCTCCTGCCTCAGCCTCCTGAGTAGCTGGGATTACAGGTGCGTGCCACCGTGCCCAGCTAATTTTTGTGTTTTTAGTAGAGACGGGGTTTCACCATGTTGGCCATGCTGGTCTTGAACTCCTGACCTCGTGATCTGCCCACCTCGGCCTCCCAAAGTGCTGGAATTATAGGCATGAGCCACCGCGCCCAGCAAAGAACTTCTAACCTTCATAACCTGACAGGTGTTCTCCTCGAGGCCAGGGTCTCTCTTTCTGTCCTTTCACCATGCTCTGCATCCCTTGGATGTGCCAGTTTCTGGGGGAAGAGTAGTCCTTTGTTACATGCATGAGTCAGTGAACAGGGAATGGGTGAATGACATTTGTGGGTAGGTTATTTCTAGAAGTTAGGTGGGCAGCTTGGAAGGCAGATGCACTTCTACAGACTATTCCTTGGGGCCACACGTAGGTTCTTGAATCCCGAATGGAAAGGGGAGATTGATAACTGGTGTGTTTATGTTCTTACAAGTCTTCTGCCTTTTAAAATCCAGTCCCAGGACATCAAAGCTCTGCAGAAAGAACTCGAGCAATTTGCCAAGCTCCTGAAGCAGAAGAGGATCACCCTGGGATATACACAGGCCGATGTGGGGCTCACCCTGGGGGTTCTATTTGGTGGGTTCCCCTCTGCAGATTCTGACCGCATCTCCCCTCTAAGGAGTATCCCTGAACCTAGTGGGGAGGGGCAGGGGCAGACTCTACCCTCACCCATGAAGAGGAGTAGGGAGAGGGAGAAGATGCTTGGGCTTTGAGCTCCCTCTGGGAAGAGGTGGTAAGCTTGGATCTCAGGGTCACAAGGGCCCTGCGTGCTCCCTCATTTTGCTTCTCTTTTGACTGGCCTCCCCCAGGGAAGGTATTCAGCCAAACGACCATCTGCCGCTTTGAGGCTCTGCAGCTTAGCTTCAAGAACATGTGTAAGCTGCGGCCCTTGCTGCAGAAGTGGGTGGAGGAAGCTGACAACAATGAAAATCTTCAGGAGGTAAGGGTGGGAGGGGGATACCCGGGGACCTTCCCTTTCTTGGCCTAATTTCCATTGCTTCCATCACTGGCTCGTAGCTCTCCGTCTTTGGTGCAGTGGTTCTCAGTGGGATGGAGTGAAATTCCTCAGTTCTGCTGGGATAAGGTCCAGAGCCAACCCTTCCAGGATCCTGCCTTTTCACACCACCACCTGGCTCTGCTGACACATCTAGTCACAGACCCCTGTGATGCTGTTACTCAGCAAGTCCAAAGCTTGCCCTTGTCACCCCCTTCCCACCTGCACAGATATGCAAAGCAGAAACCCTCGTGCAGGCCCGAAAGAGAAAGCGAACCAGTATCGAGAACCGAGTGAGAGGCAACCTGGAGAATTTGTTCCTGCAGTGCCCGAAACCCACACTGCAGCAGATCAGCCACATCGCCCAGCAGCTTGGGCTCGAGAAGGATGTGAGTGCCATGTCTCTCTGCGGGCTCCATCTCTTTCCCCTGTCACCACCTCGCTTTCCCTAGCTCTGGCTCCTCCAACTGCTCTAGGGCTGTTGGCTTTGGACAGAATGTCCAAGCAGTCAGGCCTGTCTCAGCTCATTCTCTAATGTCCTCCTCTAACTGCTCTAGGGCTGTTGGCTTTGGATAGAATGTCCAAGCAGAGTCAGGCCCGTCTCTCAGCTCATTGTCTAATGTCATTCTCCTTTCTGTCATTCACTGGCAGGTGGTCCGAGTGTGGTTCTGTAACCGGCGCCAGAAGGGCAAGCGATCAAGCAGCGACTATGCACAACGAGAGGATTTTGAGGCTGCTGGGTCTCCTTTCTCAGGGGGACCAGTGTCCTTTCCTCTGGCCCCAGGGCCCCATTTTGGTACCCCAGGCTATGGGAGCCCTCACTTCACTGCACTGTACTCCTCGGTCCCTTTCCCTGAGGGGGAAGCCTTTCCCCCTGTCTCTGTCACCACTCTGGGCTCTCCCATGCATTCAAACTGAGGTGCCTGCCCTTCTAGGAATGGGGGACAGGGGGAGGGGAGGAGCTAGGGAAAGAAAACCTGGAGTTTGTGCCAGGGTTTTTGGGATTAAGTTCTTCATTCACTAAGGAAGGAATTGGGAACACAAAGGGTGGGGGCAGGGGAGTTTGGGGCAACTGGTTGGAGGGAAGGTGAAGTTCAATGATGCTCTTGATTTTAATCCCACATCATGTATCACTTTTTTCTTAAATAAAGAAGCTTGGGACACAGTAGATAGACACACTTATCTTGGTTTGTCCTTCAGTTACTGAGGTGGGGATGGGAATATCCAATGCTCATACCCAAGTGACCCTGAAACTAAGGTGCCATTTACACTCCTTAAGGTCACACAACATCAGAGGGAGAGCTGGGATTGCAGCCAAGTTTATTTGTACAGGGCCCTGTGATAGGCTAGTTCCCAAAAGCCTGTGATGCAAGAACTTTTGCCCATAGACTCAGTCACCATGTAGCTGTTACCTGTTCAGAGCTGGCTTTTTGCTTTCCCACCCTACTCTGGAATTCTTAAATGGCTTTATACTTAGAAATCATCTTATTTCTGTTGAACCTAGATCACCCCAACCAGAAACTTCTATTAATACTTTGTGCTTTCTTGATACCAGGGTCTATTTGGTTTCCACTTAAGGTTTTTGCATACTCTGCCCATAAGTGACTCATTAGTTACTCAAGTTTTATTCCTGGCTCTGCCACTAGTTCATTAGGGGTCTTTGCCCCAGAGTCATTTCTTCCATGTAAAAAAACTTGGGCTCATTAAATCTAGGTAGGAAAGGGCGGATGTGGCAGGTTTTAATAGAACAGGTCAAGATAAGGCTTTATTTCTATAGAAATGATGCTTTGACAATAGTTTGGCTTGGTGTAAGGCTCACAAAAGAAAATCACATGTACCATGTGTGGGTTAAGCGGTTTGATTCACACTGAACCAGGCCAGCCCAGTTGCCCTCTGCTGTGTCCACCCGTGGAGTGGAGCTGTGTCACAGCCATCACACTGGTAAACTGCTGTAGCTGGTTTACCAGGCTTTCTCTTGCCCTGACAGTACAGGTGAAGCCTGTAAATAAATCTTCTGCTATCTTTGTGAACTTAACCAAATCCCAGTTACCTTATTTAAATGGCAATAGATCTGTTTTCCCTTAAACTAGAAACCTTAATTACCTGTATTCCTACCTCCAGCTCAACCCATATATTTGCACCTTTCCAGTAAGCAGGTTTGTATTTCCATCTCTCCCCTTCCCCTAAGATTCTGAATTAGTTCTCCAGACCTTGCCAAGCACATTCTCCCTGGAAAGCAAGGAATATCACAGACCCACAAGAAGAGTAAATGCCCAGGAGTGAATGAAGCGGCTTGTCCTTGACTTGGAAATAAAAGCAAAGCTGTGAAAAGCCAGGTCGCTACGATTTTGTTGGCAGCAGGACTAGCCACAGAGTAGGGAAGTTTTGGGGCCAGGCCCTAGGTTTTCCCAGAATGCCTTGGGTGATGCCACCAAGAACCTTAAGAACTCCCTCTTACATTTTCCATCGGTTGCAGGCATGGCTTTTGCAACTGATAGGTGCTCTGACTACAGATATTCTGGTGTCCATGGCAACATGGCCTTATGGCTTGTAATAGTGGGAACTTCCAGCTCACTGGCAATTTCCTGGAGGTGGCAATATCTTTGGCAGGAAACCATCTCTTCTGTCTTGGCCACCAGGGTCTGCTCCAGGCCCTGAATGAGTCCACATCAATCCATCCTTCTTCCCTGTAGTCATTCCCTCTTGGGGAGGGAAGGGAAGGGGGGTATTTATCAGACCTATTTGCTCGCTGCTGTGTCTACTCATGGGCAGGTGTGTCCGATGGTGCCTTGGCGGTGGACCTTAGGTCTGAATGCCAGCCCGGCACCCTGGGCATCGGAAGTCGGCCTCCCTGGCAGCCTGGATGCTGCAGCCAACACAGGCCACATGGAACCAGACGTCACAGCCATCACACTGAACCCAGGCCACTGTCTCTTCCTGGGGCAGGCAGCAACAAGGAGCTGCACAGGGCTCCCCGCCCCCAACTGCAGGGGGAGCCATGGGAGCGCTCACTGGGTACTTCCGAGGACGGCCACGTCGATTTCTGAAGGAAGTGACACAGACACAAGGGTCACCGGAAACCTGTAGGAGAAGGCCTAGACCTTGCCACCCTATGGCTGGTCATAGGGTGAGGCCACAGAGGCACAGTGGTCTGAGAACTAAGGTGAGCCTGGACTCTGTCCTTAAAAACACATAGGGTGGGCCTAAAAACCTCTAGTGTGAGCCTGAAAGTTCCCCATCCTTAGGCACTAGAAGAATGGGGTTAAAGCCATATGAATGTAAAAAGCAGGACATGCTCACTCCGGTTGTTTTATAAGCACTGCCCCACCCCACCTCTCATGTTCTCCTGCACATATTTTTCTTTTCCTATCAGAGCTAACCCAGGTCTTGCCATTCCATCTATTCCACCTCCCGTGCCCATCCCCCCAGGCAGGGGGACCTCCTCACAGCCTAGGGATACAAGGAATCGAAAAGCAGTAAAACACTGAGAGGGCCAAGTGAGGACTCCACTTACCCAGTGGGAGTCAGTGGGGCTTTGTCTACACGGAGTTTCTTCCTGGGCTCCATAAGGACCGGTGGCGGGTTCTCAGGAGGCTCACTCTCATCATCCAGTTCCGCCAACACTCGGTGAACAGATTTCCTCCGATTGCGTTGGGGTGGAGCAGAAGGCGTGGTCCCCACTTCCCCAGGTGGGGCGGGAACAGGCAGGCTCTTTGGTCCACCCCAACTAGGGGAGAAGGTGAGGGGCTGGGGCCGGAGCTTGCTGAGGCTGCCTATGGAGTTTAGGATCAGTGTGGCCTTGGGGGCAGGGGAGAAGGTGCTGAGAGGCCGCTGTGGAGCCCCCTGGGAGGGCAGCATAGGCCGGAAACCAGCCCCAACCCGGGCTTCTCCCCTAGACCGTGGGATGGTAATGGCAGCAAAGTCCTGAGGCTTGACTCGTACTTGTTGGAACATGAAGTAGAACTCCGAGGGGCTGGTTCCTGGGGGCCCTTCAGGGCCAAAGGTCAGGAGGTCTCCATCACTCAATTCCAGCCTGTGACCTCTTGGGAGTCGGACATTATTGACCAAAGTACCTGTTGATGGTGGGGCACCAGGCAAATATGGAGGACAAAAACAGAAATGACCAGAGTCAGGAGTGGAGAAATCTGTATGATTTCTGGGGAAGAATATGAAACTGTAGTCAGATTCTCCCTCACATCCTAAGCCCCTCAGCAGGTGACAGGTACCAGGCAGTACACTCCTTGTCAGCTAGGAACAAGTCTGTGTTTCTTGTGCTTTCCTACAAAGGATCCCTGCCCTCACTGTCCTAAGGTCCAATTTTCTTTCTTTCTTCTTTTTTTTTCTTTCTTTTTTTTTTTTTTGAGATGGAGTTTTGCTCTATTGCCCAAGCTTGAACCGCCTCCCAGGTTCAAGCAATTCTCCTGCCTCAGCCTCCTGAGTAGCTGGGATTACAGGCATGTGCCACCACGTCTGGCTAATTTTTTTATTTTTAGCAGAGACAGGGTTTTACCATGTTGGCCAGGCTGGTCTCATACTCCTGACCTCCTGATCTGCCCGCCTCAGCCTCCCAAAGTGCTGGGATTACAGGCGTGAGCCACCGTGCCCCGCCCTAAGGTCCAGTTTTCAAACATGCTCACTCTCCCCCAGCTCCAGCTCGTTCAGATCCTAGCTCTACCACTTACCAGTTATGTGACCCTGGGCAAGCTTTTGGTTTGTTTGTTTGTTTGAGATGGAGTCTCGCTCTGTCGCCCAAGCTGGAGTGCAGTGGTGCGATCTCAGCTCACTGCAACCTCCGCCTCCCGGGTTCAAGTGATTCTGCTGCTTCAGCCTCCTGAGTAGCTGGGGTTACAGGTGCACGCCACCACACCTGGCTAATTTTTGTATTTTTTTTTCAGCACAGATGGGGTTTCAACATGTTGGTCAGGATGGTCTCGAACTCCTGACCTCGTGATCTGCCCATCTCGGCCTCCCAAAGTGCTGGGATTACAGGCGTGAGCCACCGCGCCCAGGCTTTTTTTAAAAAATTAATTAATTTTTTGGTAGAGACAGGTTTTCACCATGTTGCCCAGGCTGGTCTCGAACTCCTGAGCTCAAGTGATCCACCCTGCCTTAGCCTCCCAAAGTGCTGGATTATAGGTGTAAACCACCATGCCCAGCCCTGGACAAGTTCCTTAACCTCTTTGTGCCTCATTTTCCTTTACTGTAAATGAGGATAATATTAGTACCACCTACATTCAATACACTTAAAATAGGGCCTGGCTCATAACAGTAAGCACTAGATGAATGTTGGCTACTATAGTCTAATAACCATAACACTCCTACAGCTGACTTTACCAAGAGGCAGTGGCAAAACTCAAATGTGAATCTAGGCTTTCTGAGGCTAACTGCCTCAAGTCACGGAGAAAGACATGCCCAGATTATTAAAAACATTATTCAACATAGAACTGCCCTAACCCAGGAACAGAGTGCCTCAGCAAAGCTGGAAACTGAATCAAGTCTAAACTTGGCCTCTAGTGGCCTCAGAACATCCCCACTGTGATATCTTTCTGATGATATCCCAGGTCCTGTATGAGCTAAACGGGACCAAAAAGGGTCAGTCTGGCAGAGAGCTTCTGACTGTGCACACTTCTGGTGGGAAGATGAAGGTCTGGACCACGACTATCCATCCAATCTGATGGGAGTATGGGAGGCAGGCAGCAGGGTCTTGTGGAGACCTTACTCATTCCAGCCTGGCGCTTCAACCACCCAGGGGCAAAGCTGCCCTGCTTAATGCTCACCTTGGCTGCTGTGGTCTTCCAGGCTGACCCTCCAGTCATCACCCCGGGGCTCGGCATGCAGTTCGGCGTGGATCCCAGAGATGAGGCCAGGCTCCTGCTGGGGCCGCAGGGCCACATCACACAGGTCGGCCCTGTGGCCCAAGCGATAGGTGCAGCCAGCCCCGGCGGGGGGGTGGAAGGTGTAGAGATCACCGCCCCTGCCGCCCCCTATGCGCAGCAGTTGGAAGCAGGGCAGCATGGGCGGTGCCCCCTCTGCACCACCTCTTCCACTTCAGGCATCCATTTCCTTTCCCACTCCTGGGCCACGCACCGCTGGCTTAAGTTCGCTTCCCAGTCTGATGCAAACTTGAGTTGTGCTGTATGCGGTTTCAACTTTGAGCACACTACCTGAATAGCCCAAATTCAGAGTGCAAGCAGCCTAGGACTCAATGCAAAATTGGTTAAGCCGACTTGCAAATGAAAAATTCCAGGAAGGTCTCCGTGCAATGCAAACTCAGGAACACGTCCTATGGCACCTCACTTGAGCTGGATCCTCAGATCACAAAATATTTGGGGAGCCTCCAATCTGCAAGGCAAGGATACTTTAGGCAGCTCCTGTGTGTGTCGGGGTGGCGGGGCGCGGGGAAGGAGGTCCTGTTATACACACGTCTACGTGCAATACGAACACATCACCTCTGTGTAATTCGGAGAAGAGCAGCTTCTTCCTGTCAAACTTGCTTATCCTAATAGAGCACTCCTGCTTGCCTGCGCCCCGATCTTCTGGCCAATCCCTCACTCATAACTGGTTGAACCTCCGAGGGCAATGAATCCACTGTCATCCCCCAAAAGAAAGTGCAAACGAGTCCTTAAGTACTCCAACAAATTGGACCTAAACCCCTACTTCCCGGCTTCTCTAGGTGGGATAAAAACAGGAAGGAGCTCCCCGCGATCATGCAAGGCATACCCGGCCTTTTCCCACTCCGCCCCAGCCCCGTTTCGGATCTACCCGCGCGGCGCAGTCTCCGAGTAGCCTCCTCTTCAAGCAGTGCCAGCCTGTGCGGCGGATCCCGGGACCCCTTGGGCTCCTCGGCAGGAGCCGACGTTGCTGCATCTGTTTGACAGCCAAGAAGCCGGGGCCAGGAGGGGCGCGGCCTCTGCGCGCGGGCAGCGCCTACCCCTCCTTCGGAATTCCCGGGCCCGAACTTCGCGCCGAGCGAGCCCGCCCCCGTGCCGTTCCCGATTGGCCAGCTCATTTGTTCTCTTCCGCGCCATTGGACAGCGCCCCAAGATCTCCCGCCTTCCACTTTTTCTGATTAGTTCACAAGTTTTCCCGGGTTGCCGCAGTGAGGAGGAGCCGCCTGGGCGCGGAGATGCTCCGACGCATTTAGTGGGCCCAAATTTAGACGCCACTGCGCCTGCGTACACCTTTCCCCCTCCTCCCAACAGAGTGAAATAGGACTTTAGGGCGCCCGCCTTGCGCAGGCGCGGTCAGGGGCAGAGGCGGGGCCGGGAGCGAGGCGTAGGGGGTGTGGCCAAAGCGCAGTAGGGGGCTCTCGCGGTTGGTAAGGGACGTTCGGGAAGAGTCGGTTGGGGGCGGGAAGGGGCTGAGCGGGGGTCCTGGGAGGGTTCAAGGGGTCCAAAGGGGAAGGGGGTACAGGGGCCAGGTGAAGGGACAGATGAAGAGATCAGAACAGCCTTAGAGCTCACGGGCTAACTGGGTGAAGCCTCGGGTATCTAGGGGAGCAGTGGTGGGAGAGTAGAGCCGGCTAGCGTACAGGGGGCGAGGGCAGGCTATTGAGAGATGGGGGTGAGGGTCAGGACCAGAATAATTCCTTCAGAAAAAGGTAGATTAGGTTGTAAAAAGGGACGGGAGTAGGGATCCCAGATTCGGGTAAAAAATAGATTAATGAGGGTGGGAGGGTGGGAGGAAGATCTTCAAGTGCCCACTATGTGTTAGGACTCGAGAAAGAGGAGGCGGGCAGCAGGCATGGAAGCTAAGGGGATAGTAGAGAGAAGCTGAGAGAACAGCCGCAGGAAAGATTTGAATAAGATGTCAGGACGCTGGCTTTTCTGCCTGGGGATCTAGGCGGCCTGGATTCCCAAGGTCTTGGGGAGGGTCTAGCCCTGCATGTGGCCACATTCAGCTGGGGCCAGGCCTTGGGCCAGCACTTTAACAGGGAAGGACCCAAGAGTCATGGCCTGCTGGTGTCTGGATGGGCTTCCCTCAGGCCTTGCTGAGCCATGGAGAGAACTCTGGAGATGGCGCTCAAGACCCCTGCACTGTGTACCTCCTTTCTCACCTCTGGCCAGGAGCAGCAGGGACCATAGAAACTTAAGGAGGAGGGTAAAGGCACTGCCCAGAATCCTGAAAGTATGAGTAAAGCCTCAGAGCCCCTCTCAGTCTGTCTCTTTCAGTAAATTCTCTCCACTTGATAGTTAGTTGCTTGGGTTCCATGAGGAACCAGGTTGAGACAAGCAAGTGAATTTGGGGTATCTCCTACTTTGGGGAAGTAGGAAAAGAGCTAAGCATCGGGTGGACCTGGCTATAATTCAAGGATTATGACTTTGTTATTGTAGGGGCTTTCTCTTTGGAAGGTGGCCTGAAAATTGAATTGGAGTGTCTTTGTTTCTCCTCTTGTCCAGGGGAACATAGATGGCTGAAGACAGAATCTAGAGCCTTCAAATAATGTGGAGATGTTTCCACCTTCAGGTCAGTGGGACCAGACAAGGGGAGTGGTGGTTGTCTCTGCCTGGGAAACTGACCATCTTTGTTTTTGTAATTCTTCAGGTTCCACTGGGCTGATTCCCCCCTCCCACTTTCAAGCTCGGCCCCTTTCAACTCTGCCAAGAATGGCTCCCACCTGGCTCTCAGACATTCCCCTGGTCCAACCCCCAGGCCATCAAGATGTCTCAGAGAGGCGGCTAGACACCCAGAGACCTCAAGTGACCATGTGGGAACGGGATGTTTCCAGTGACAGGCAGGAGCCAGGGCGGAGAGGCAGGTAGGGATCCATCCACGCCGTTTTCTCAGGCTTGCTTGCTAGTGACCCTTCCTCACTGGAATAAACTCCTTACCCTATTTCGGCCCTAGTTTCCAGAACGTACTCATTTTTATGTAAGCAATTAGTTCCTACAGTGCATAAATAATAAAGCAGTGTGCTAAGTGCTAGGGATGAGGATAACAATAGTGAATAAGACAAATCCTGACTTAAATTTGTAATTAATAAGGAATCTAAAATCCTAAGAGGGGAGATAGATTGACCACCAGCTGATGGTAAAGCATGGTATGAGGCAAGATGAAGAAGTGCAAACTAGAGGTAGAGACCCAGCACTGTGGCAGTGTGGGTTCATTCTGATGGAAGAAAGCCTTTACAGAGGACATGCTGTGGGAGCTGGCCATGCTGTCGTATTATCTGTAAACATTCTTATTCTTGTTTCATGTGTCTTTTCCCAGATGTACTGGGATATCATTCTGCCATTTTGCTCCAGAATAGGATTACATTAGAAGAAGCAGCATGATGAAGAAGGAATACTAGACTGGGTGTCAGGAGACAGAGACTCTATTTCTAGTTTGGCTACCAGCTAGAGGACATTTGGCAAGTCACTTAATTTCCCTAGCCTACAGATCGCTGCTACTAAAGAAAGAAAGAAAGAGCGAGCCAGATATGGCGGCTCACACCTATAATCCTAGCACTTTGGGAGCTGAGGCAGGAGGATCACTTGAGCCCAGGAGTTCATGACCAGCGTGGGCAACAAAGCGAGACTCCGTCTCCACAGAAAATAATTAGCTGGCTGTGGTGGCATGCATTTGTAGTCCTAGCTACTCAGGAGGCTAAGGTGGTAGGACCCCTTGAGCTCAGAAGTTGAAGACTGCAGTGACCTATGATCCAGCCACTGCATTGAGGCCTGGGTGACACAGTGATACCCTGTCTCTAAAAACGACAACAACAACAATCTCTTATAGTCCTGGGTCTCAGAGAGCTGCCTCAGGAGCCATGTTCCAAGCTGGATTAAACTTCACGTGACATTGGTAGACGATTTCTCTAAAGGCTGGCACTGTGTTATTTATGTACTGTTCTCTCAGACTCCTCATAAAGTATACCTAACACTCAATAAATGCCTTTTTTTTTTTTTTTTTTTTTTGAGATGGAGTCTCACTCTGTCGCCCAGGCTGGAGTGCACTGGGGAGATCTTGGCTCACTGCAAGCTCCGCCTCCCAGGTTGACGCCATTCTCCTGCCTCAGCCTCCCAAGCAGCTGGGACTACAGGCACCTGCCACCACGCCCAGCTAGTTTTTTATATTTTTAGTAGAGATGGGGTTTCACCGTGTTAACCAGGATGATCTCGATCTCCTGACCTCGTGATCCGCCCGCCTCGGCCTCCCAAAGTGCTGGGATTACAGGCATGAGCCACCGCGCCCAGCCAATAAATGCCTTTTAACTAGCACCTGGCCTCACCATATTGATACTGGAAGCTTACGACCTCTCTATGCCCATTCCTCCCTCAAACTTCTTGCCCTTAAATTAGAATTGAGAAGTCCCTGTGTGTTCTTCCAACCTTTCCACTTAAAATGTGTGGCCTAAAAATAAAAAAATAAATAAGACAAAAAAACCACCAAAAAACAAAAAGAATGTGTGGCCTAATGATATACACATTTGATGTTGAATCCTCCTGTATGTAGCTCTCTCTAGGGAGATCATGTTCCACGATCTCAGCCAGACTTTAGGTCCTGTGAGTCCAGGCACTGGACTCAACATGCTCAATAGGGCTTTGATGAATGATGATGATGTCAATGCAGACATCCCCATACCCCAGCTTCAGCACCCCCTTCACCTCCCCACACGGAAGCAGAGGGGTCCTCTTTTCCTTCTCCTGGCTATGTTTATGCCCTCAACTATCCTTCCAGCACTGGAGACAAGTCTCACCTGCACTAACCTGTCTTTGAAGGTCCTGGGGGCTGGAGGGGTCACAGGCCCTGAGCCAGCAGGCTGAGGTGATCGTTCGGCAGCTGCAAGAGCTGCGGCGGCTGGAGGAGGAGGTCCGGCTCCTGCGGGAGACCTCGCTGCAGCAGAAGATGAGGCTAGAGGCCCAGGCCATGGAGCTAGAGGCTCTGGCACGGGCGGAGAAGGCCGGCCGAGCTGAGGCTGAGGGCCTGCGTGCTGCTTTGGCTGGGGCTGAGGTTGTCCGGAAGAACTTGGAAGAGGGGAGGCAGCGGGAGCTGGAAGAGGTTCAGAGGCTGCACCAAGAGCAGGTGAATGCAGGGGTAGAAAGGATTCAAATTCATAACGGAGAGCTGGGCAGTAGCTTCCAAGCAAAGAACAGGTATTGCAGAAAAGACCCTCCATGAGTAGTGAGTAGTAGAGTGATGAGACCTTTGGTGAAAATAAACACACATGGGCTAGAAAGATGGAGAATTTGGGTACT
The DNA here is from genome assembly GCF_000001405.40 of Homo sapiens. Classification (NCBI taxonomy): domain Eukaryota; kingdom Metazoa; phylum Chordata; class Mammalia; order Primates; family Hominidae; genus Homo; species Homo sapiens. The sequence continues at coordinate 2,464,839 of NT_167246.2, read as the reverse complement.
TTTATCTTAATTCAGGTTGCACTTTTCCCCCAAGACTCAGGTGGCCTCCCACCACTTGAAGCCCTGCTTCCCTTTCTAGTAGGAAATAGTTTGCCTCCCTACTTTACTCCAGGTACCAATTCATCAGGGGTATTGTGGAGGGCAGTGAGGAAGGTGGGTATAAGGGGGCTATGGTGGACTGGGAGAGAGAGATTATTCAGTCCTCAAACTCAGTACTTACTCTGCCATCTCTAAGACTCAGTGACCAAATTAGCCTGAGTCCTGCCTTCGTGGATGGAACTGACAGCCTCGTGGGGGATATACACATCCACATTTAATTTAATCATAATTAATTGCAATCAGGAGGAATGCCTTGAAGGAGAAGGACTAGAAAGCACTAACTTAGTCTGGGGTTCAGGGAAGGCCACTGTAACCAGTTGACATGTCAAGGAAAGAAACCATAGCCCTGGGCGCAGTGGCTCACGCCTGTAATCCCAGCATTTTGGGAGGCCGAAGCAGGCAGATCACAAGGTCAGGAGTTCAAGACCAGCCTGGCCAACATGGCGAAACCCTGTCTCTACTAAAAATAAAAAAATTCACCAGGCATGGTGGTGCGCACCTGTAATCCCAGCTACTTGGGAGGCCGAGGCAGGAGAATCACTTGAACCTGGGCAGTGGAGGTTGCAGTGAGCCGAGACTGTGCCATTGCACTCCAGCCTGGGCGACAGAGCAAGACTCTGTCTCAAAAAATAAAATAAAAAAGGAACTGGGAGAAAACAAGGGAGAATTCCTTTATAACCTTGTAGTGGGCAAGGCCTTTCTACCTGTGAGTCAAAATCCAAAATCTAGAAGCCATAAAGGAAAAAATTGATCCATTGACTTTATAACATGAACATTAGGAATAGCCAAAAAGAAAAAAAAAAGCTATATTTATAGCTCAGATCACAAGAAAAGGGTAATATCCCTAATATAAAATGTGTGCCTAGAAATTGGTAAGGGAAAGACCAGCAATCCAATCAGAAAATGGACAAAGGAGATTTATGAAAGAAACTTAGAAACAAGAAGCTAGGCCAGGCACAGTGGCTCATGCCTGTAATCCCAGCACTTTGGGAGGCCGAGGTGGGCGGATCACTTGAGGCCAGGAGTTAAAGACCAACCTGGCCAACATGAAGAACTCTACAAAAAAATACAAAAATTAGCCGGGTATAGTCGTGGGCGCCTGTAATCCCCCAGCTTCTTGGGAGGCTGAGGCAGGAGAATTGCTTGAACCTGGGAGACAGAGGTTACAGTGAGCTGACATCACACTCCAGCCTGGGCAGCAGAGCGAGACTAAAAAAACAACAAGCTACCGTTTGTGCTGAATAGGAGTTGGCCAGTGAAGAGGCGTGTGAAGTCCAGTGGTAGCTGGAAGACACTTGGTGGGACAACAGGTGAAGGCGGGGACAGGAGGCCAGAAGGCTGGGGCACAGAGATGAGGGGCACTGAGTGTGCTGCAGAGCCCAGGACCCAGGGCACAAGGCTTTGGCCACTTCAGAACTTGCTACTTTCCCATAAGAGCAATGAGCAGGCTGGGCACAGTGGCTCATACCTGTAATCCTAGCACTTTGGGAGGCCAAGGTGGAAGGATCATTTGAGCCCAGGAGTTTGAGACCAGCCTGGGCAACAAAGCGAGACCCCCATCTCTATTTTATGGAAGAAATTAGGGCTGGGCATGGTTGCTCACATGTGTAATCCTAGCACTTTGGGAAGCTGAGGCGGGTGGATCACTTGAGGTCAGGAGTTCGAGACCAGCCTGGCCAACATGGTAAAACCTCATCTCTACTAAAAATACAAAAATTAGCTGGGCGTGGTGGCTCATGCCTGTAATCTCAGCTACTCGGGAGGGTGAGGCGGGAGGGTGAGGCAGGAGAATCGCTTGAACCTGGGAGGCAGCGTTTGCAGTGAGCTGAGATCGTGCCATTGCACTCCAGTCTAGGCAACAAAGTGAAACTCCATCTCCAAAAAAACAAACAAAAAAAAATTGTTTTTTCAAGTAATAAGCAACCGTTGAAAGGTTGTTTTTTTTTTTTTTTGAGATGGAGTCTCGCTCTGTCGCCCAGGCTGGAGTGCAGTGGCGCGATCTTGGCTCACTGCAAGCTCCGCCTCCCGGGTTCATGTCATTCTTCCGAGTAGCTGGGACTACAGGCGCCCGCCACCACGCCCAGCTAATTTTTTGTATTTTAATAGAGACGGGGTTTCACCGTGTTAGCCAGGATGATCTCAATCTCCTGACCTTGTGATCCACCCACCTCGGCCTCCCAAAGTGCTGGAATTACAGGAATGAGCCACTGCGCCCGGCCTGTTGAAAGGTTTTAAGCAGGGAAATAACATGATTAGATTTGTATTTTATGTCTAAAAAATTTTGTCATTTATGTCCCCCAAATTAATTTTATTGTTGTATGGAGACAGGGCTAGAGGAGGCAGACCAGGAAGCAGGGTGGGCACTTTGCCCTCCTTTCCAGTCCATCCCATGACTCTTGGTGGCTCTGACACCCCTGCAACACTTTGAGGTGCCATGAGCAAAAGACACAAAATTCCTCCTTTCCTGGAGCTTTCCTTCCAGTGTGGTCCGACAGATAGTAACACATACACATAAGCAAGATATGGTCAGTGCTAAGTGCTCAGGAGGACGTGAACAGCTGATGGGGCAGAGTAGGGTGGGGAGGGACAGTATTAGAGGGCCCAGTGAAGCCACCCTGAGGAGGGGCTATCGCCTGGGGTCTGTGGAGCAAGGAGGGGCCGCTGTCTGGTTCTCAGCAGACTCCCCGTGGCCGGAGCGGGGAGCAGTGGGAGAGCCTCCAGGGTGAGCTCAGGAGGTAGGCAGAGGCCGGGTCCCCTGGCCTGCAGGTGTGGAGAGACACCTGGGTTTTGTTGTGAATGCTGTGAGAAGCCACTGAGGGTTTGTAAAGACTAGTTAGGAGATGGTCGCTGTTGCCCAGGCAAAAGATGAGGGTTGGTGGCAGTGGAGACGGAGACAGAGAGGTGAAGATATGTTTTGGGGGAGATCGGACAAGAACTCCTGATGGGTTGTGGGGCAGCTGCGGAGAGTGAGTTGCCAGCTCTCCATTTGCTGTGCACAGTTGGCTGATTGGTTGGGTCATTCTCTAAGGTCACAGAAAGTGGGAGTGAAGGGAACAAGGAAGGCCTCCATGTGGGGTCGAGCCTCTGCTGAGCCCCCTCTTCTTTCCGCAGCTGTCCTCTTTGACACAGGCTCACGAGGAGGCTCTTTCCAGTTTGACCAGCAAGGCTGAGGGCTTGGAGAAGTCTCTGAGTAGTCTGGAAACCAGAAGAGCAGGGGAAGCCAAGGAGCTGGCCGAGGCTCAGAGGGAGGCCGAGCTGCTTCGGAAGCAGCTGAGGTAGGTGGGCGGACGCCGACGGGAGCCCAGCAATTAGTGATGTGGTGGATCTGCAGGGCGCCCCACTGATGGCTGTCCCATTCCCACCCCAACCCTAGCAAGACCCAGGAAGACTTGGAGGCTCAGGTGACCCTGGTTGAGAATCTAAGAAAATATGTTGGGGAACAAGTCCCTTCTGAGGTCCACAGCCAGACATGGGAACTGGAGCGACAGAAGCTTCTGGACACCATGCAGGTGAGGGTGCAGGAATGTATCTGTGTGCAGACTTAGGGATCAGGTTGGGAGGCAAGCGTGGCCCTTGGAGGAGCGTGTAGAGCACAGCCTCCGGGAGAGAAGGTGGTACCTAAGGCGGCATGGAGGCCCTACAGAGGGGCTGCTTTCCTCTGCCCGCAGCACTTGCAGGAGGACCGGGACAGCCTGCATGCCACCGCGGAGCTGCTGCAGGTGCGGGTGCAGAGCCTCACACACATCCTCGCCCTGCAGGAGGAGGAGCTGACCAGGAAGGTACAGCCCAACCCCCAGACCCCTCACCCTCAGCCGCATCCTGCATCTACTGTCCCCTGCCTCCCTCCCTGTGGGCAGGAGGGGTCAATGTGCCCCAGAACCTGCTTAGATCTCCTTCCTGTGAACTCCTCTTGCTGTAGCTCATGTTGCCCAGGCAGGACAGAGGAGAAACAAAGATGCCACCTCCTTCCTCTCCTCCCCCAGGAGCCCACACTTTTCTCCCACTCCTTCTCCCTCAGGTTCAACCTTCAGATTCCCTGGAGCCTGAGTTTACCAGGAAGTGCCAGTCCCTGCTGAACCGCTGGCGGGAGAAGGTGTTTGCCCTCATGGTGCAGCTAAAGGCCCAGGAGCTGGAACACAGTGACTCTGTTAAGCAGCTGAAGGGACAGGTCACTGCACTCTCTTTTCTCCCGGTATTCCCTCCCAGCACCTTGCTCCTTCCATGAAGGTGGCATCCATTCAACCAGTGTTTATTGAGTGGTTGCCACATGCTGGGCACACAGCCCTGAACAAAACTAAAATGTGGAGCTTGCATTCTAGAACAGAGACACAGAACACGCAAGTAAACAGATAATGTTGGGTAATTATATGTGCGATAGAAAGATTGAAGCCGGGTGCAGTGGCTCACACCTATAATGCGATCACTTTGGTCTCCAACTCCTGACCTCAGGTGATTCACCTGCCTCAGCCTCCCAAAGTGATGGGATTACAGGTGTGAGCCACCGTGCCCAGTCAAGTAATGCCAACAGTTTGGGAGACCGAGGCAGGTGGATCACTGGAGGTCAGGAGTTCGAGACCAGCCTGGGCAACATGTGAAATCCCGTCTCTACTAAAAATACAAAAAATTAGCCGGGCATAGTGGCTCATTCCTGTAGTCCCAGCTACTCTGGAGGATGAGGTGGGAGGATCACCTGAGGCTGGGAGGTCGAGGCGAGGCCACAGTGAACTGTGATCCCATCACTGCACTCTAGCCTGGGTGACAAAGCGAGATCTTTTCTCAAAAAAAAAGAAAGTAGTAAGAAAAATTCAAAAGATAATGTGACGGAGAGACTGTGGGGTGAGTCAGCCTCAGGTAGGATGCTCAGAGACAGCCTCTCTGAGGAGGTGACAGCATCTGAGGAGAGTGGCATGGTCAGTTGGTGGGTCTTGTGGGGTGTGTCAAGGGCTATTCCCATCTTCGAGTGGGCACATGGAATGTGGAACATGGAACACTGGGCTCAGATTCCATCCTCAGAACCTAAGCTTCTGTCTCCCTGCGTGGCATTCATTCTTTTTCTTTTCTTTTCTTTTTTTTTTTTTTTTGAGAAGGAGTCTTGTTCTTGTCACCCAGGCTGGAGTGCAGTGGCCTGATCTCAGCTCACTGCAACCTCCGCCTCCCAGGTTCAAGTGATTCTCCTGCCTCAGCCTCCCGAGTAGCTGGGATTACAGGCACATGCCATCACGCTCAGCTAATTTTTGTATTTTTAGTAGAGACAGGCTTTCACCATGTTGGCCAGGCTGATCTTGAACCCCTGACCTCAAGTGATCCATCTGCCTCGGCCTCCCAAAGTGCTGGGATTACAGGTGTGAGCCACCGTGCTGCGACCCACCCCCGTCGCCCGCCCTCCCTCCCCCCAGCCCCTGCATGGCATTCTTACAGAGATCTCTGCACCTGCCACTTTGCTTCCAGTGCCCCCCTCATCTTTTAGCTCTAGAGGGCCCTGCCCAGCTCTCTCTCCTCCCCCAGGTGGCCTCACTCCAGGAAAAAGTGACATCCCAGAGCCAGGAGCAGGCCATCCTGCAGCGATCCCTGCAGGACAAAGCCGCAGAGGTGGAGGTGGAGCGTATGGGTGCCAAGGTTGGTGTCAGCCTACTAGAGACTCGGGGAGGGCAAGGGAGCCCCTGTTCCGGGGCTGCAGCCAGGACTTAGGGAGGGACCCTGTCCTTTGCTGCATCCTCCCCAGGGCCTGCAGTTGGAGCTGAGCCGTGCTCAGGAGGCCAGGCGTCGGTGGCAGCAGCAGACAGCCTCAGCCGAGGAGCAGCTGAGGCTTGTGGTCAATGCTGTCAGCAGGTATCAGGGATGGAGGGGTGGGTGGAGTAGTGTTTCTGCCACCTCAGGTTCCTGGGCACCTTGTTGCTGAGGATCCTCAGGCAAGAGGGGCTGGAAAGTGGCCACTGGAGGCTACAGGGCTGGGCAGATTTAGCTCTATCAATGTTCCTGTGTTCGTTTCTTTTCCTGGGGAAGCCCCTTCTGCATTCATACCTGATTGCTTGTTATGAATTTCCCGTTGCATGTTTGGCTGGAGGTGAGGCCTTGCTTCCTCCTGCAGTTCAGTCTAGTAATGGCTTGAGCTAAATAGAGCACCCGGGAGGATCTTCACTTGCAGTATTGTTCAAGGATGGAGAGTGTAGACACTTCATCTTCCTTTTTTTTTCTAAAATTTTACGGGCAATCCGTTTCACTGGAGAAAAATTTAGTCTATTTATTTATTTATTTTGAGACAAAGTCTCGCTCTGTCACCCAGGCTGGAGTGCAATGGCACAATCTTGGCTCACTGCAACCTCACCTCCCTGGTTCAAGTGATTCTCCTGCCTCAGCCTCCCGAGTAGCTGGATTACAGGCATCCTCCACCAGTGTCCTCCACTACGCCCGGCTAATTTTTGCATTTTTAGTAGGGACGGGGTTTCACCATGTTGGCCAGGCTGGTCTTGAACTCCTGACCTCAGGTGATCCACCCACCTCAGCCTCCCAAAGTGCTGGAATTATAGGTGTGAGCCACTGCACCTGGCCTAGTCTATTTATTTAAAGCTGTATACTTACTTGCTTATTATATACTTAACTTGCTTACTATTCCATCTAAAATGTAAGCCAGTTAGTTTCCTTCTAAATCAATTGCCAGCCTTTGTCTCTCCTACCAACTTCCTAGTTGTTTCATTACCTACAATTGTTGTATGACCTTCAGAAAAACCTCTAAGAAAACAGCAAAGCTTCTTTGTGCTGGTGATGACTTCCCCTCAGCCTTAGACACTGAGGTACCCAAGGCAAGTAGTTCTTTTTTTTTTTTTTTGAGACAGAGTCTCGCACTGTCACCCAGGCTGGAGTGCAATGGCACGATCTCAGCTCACTGCAACCTCTGCCTCCCGGGTTCACACGATTTTCCTGCCTCAGCCTCCTGAGTAGCTGGGATTACAGGTGCACACCACCACACCCGGCTACTTTTTTGTATTTTTAGTAGAGACAGGGTTTCACTGTGTTGGCCAGGCTGGTCTCAAACTTCTGACCTCGTGATCCGCCCGCCTCGGCCTCCCAAAGTGCTGGGATTACAGGCTTGAGCCACCGTGCCCGGCCGGCAGGTAGTTCTTAGCACAGTCTCTGGCTTGTAAATGTTTATTGTTATCGTGAGGCTCTTCTTGATGGGTTAATTTAGATAAAGATAATTTTTGGTTTAGCGAAATTAAGATGCAGGATGAGTCCTTGCCCACCACTTCCTTCTCTTGGGTTTGTACCTTAGGGACTAATTTAGCTTTAAAAATTATGAAAAATTTCAAACTTGCACGGAATTAAACTAGTTATAATGACCTACCACCCAGGTTCAATCCATCGCGGGTGCCCCCTACCTCCAGGAGAACAGAAAGATGCACTGTGGTCAGGGTTTGACTTTGGTACCAGGTGATCACAGAAATGGTCTGTGTAATGATGCATTTGCCGAAAGTCCTCCAGGCTTAAAGCAGTCCAAACTCTGATTGTTGCTGGGTTTATTAGATTGTCTCTAGGTAATTGGAGACTTTAATAAGAGCTGTGGTAGGTGTTGGAAGCATCTACTGGAACAATTTCCAGATCAAAGTGAACTTTGCTGTGCTGCTGGGGATGCAGCTGCAAGCCTTCATCATCATGTGTTTTTCTGTGGGTGCAGACCTGGACTCTCCTGAGGAAACCCCAGCCCGGCCCCAGACACTCCTTGGCCTCCTCCTGGGGCCTGTTTAAGCTGCTCAGTTTTCATGAGCCAGGTTGGTCCTACTTCTGGCACAGCCAGCTGGTAAAGCATGTGGACCTGCCCGTCATTGGTGCTAGATCGACACTCCTGGGCTTGGAGAGGATAACTTTGTTTTCTTTTGTTTTTTTGAGATGGAGTCTCGCTCTGTCACCCAGTCTTGAGGGCAGGGGTGCGATCTTGGCTCACTGGAACCTCCACCTCCTAGGTTCAAGTGATTCTCGTGCCTCAGCCTCTGGAGTAGCTGGGATTACAGGCATGAGCCACCATGCCCGGCTAATTTTTGTGTTTTTAAGTAGAGAGAGTTTCACCATGTTGGCCAGGCTAGTCTCCAATTCCTGACTTCAGGTGATCCGCCCGCCTCGGCCTCCCAAAGTGCTGGGATTACAGGCAGGAGCCACTGCCCCTGACCAGAGAGGATAACTTTACTCTTTGATACACGATAGTGAGCAAAACACAGTTGTGAGAAATAAGCTTAACAGGTTGCTTAAAAAGATAGTCATTTAATGCATTCTTGGGGCAAGGGTCCTTTAGATAATTGACGGAAGCTGTGCGTTCTGTACTTGTATAATGGGACAGGATTAGAGGGAGTTGTCTATACAAGGCACAGCAAGTCCTTTGGGAATGAGGGGAGGCATGGAGGATCAGTGACTTGTGCCCTCTCCAGCTCTCAGATCTGGCTCGAGACCACCATGGCTAAGGTGGAAGGGGCTGCCGCCCAGCTTCCCAGCCTCAACAACCGACTCAGCTATGCTGTCCGCAAGGTCCACACCATTCGGGGTGCGTAGGACAACTGCGAGCCACGTCCTGCCCCCACCCCACCAGCTCGGACTTTCTTCTTCCTGACCCAGCTCTCTCTGATCCCACATCCATTCACCTTCCTCCTTTCACCAGTCCTTGCATCTCTTTTTCCCTTACTCCCTGTCCCCACTTTCTCCCATGCAAACTTCATCTCTTTTTCTCCCTGCTTTTTCCCCTCCAGGCCTGATTGCTCGAAAGCTTGCCCTTGCTCAGCTGCGCCAGGAGAGGTGAAGTTTGTGCACTTTGAGGTGGATGGGGCTTTAGGGCATTGGCTGCTGGGACCCCCAAAACCATGAGGACTGAGGTGGGATGGGGGCTTTGGGATCAGGCAGCTGGGTGATTTCTCCTGACTCTTTCTCTTCCCCGTCCCAGCTGTCCCCTACCACCACCGGTCACAGATGTGAGCCTTGAGTTGCAGCAGCTGCGGGAAGAACGGAACCGCCTGGATGCAGAACTGCAGCTGAGTGCCCGCCTCATCCAGCAGGAGGTGGGCCGGGCTCGGGAGCAAGGTACACCTGGTTGCCAGAGGGTGGAGAGGATGAGGAAAAACCCAGTGTCTAGGGTGCTGGGAGAGGCCTGACCCAGCACCCCCTCCTTTTAGGGGAGGCAGAGCGGCAGCAGCTGAGCAAGGTGGCCCAGCAGCTGGAGCAGGAGCTGCAGCAGACCCAGGAGTCCCTGGCTAGCTTGGGGCTGCAGCTGGAGGTAGCACGCCAGGGCCAGCAGGAGAGCACAGAGGAGGCTGCCAGTCTGCGGCAGGAGCTGACCCAGCAGCAGGAACTCTACGGGCAAGGTGTCGAGAGGGAAATGGGTGCTTCCCTTGGAGGGTGGGGTGGGAACTGCGAATCAAAGCTCCTGCTGATATGCCCCGTCTGCACTTTCACCCCAGCCCTGCAAGAAAAGGTGGCTGAAGTGGAAACTCGGCTGCGGGAGCAACTCTCAGACACAGAGAGGAGGCTGAACGAGGCTCGGAGGGAGCATGCCAAGGCCGGTGAGCCTTGCCAGGGTGGATAGGGCCTTCCAGGAAGAAGGAAGTGTTAAGACATAAGGTTATTATTTTCCCCTCAAAGTGTGTTCAAAGCTTCATTACAGGAAGTAATGAAGGTATCCAGGAGTAGCACAGATGAATTATCACATCGTGAACACACCCATGTAGCCAGCACCAGATTAAGAAACAGCATATGGCCGGTCGCGGTGGCTTATGCCTGTAATCCAAGCACTTTGGGAGGCCGAGGTGGGTGTATCACCTGAGGTCAGGAGTTTGAGGCCAGCCTGGACAACATGGCGAAACCCTGTCTCGACTAAAAATACAAAAATTAGCTAGGCCTGGTGGTGGGCACCTGTACCCCAAGCTTACTTGTGAGGCTGATGTGGGAAGACTACATGAACCCGGGAGGTCGAGGCTGCAGTGAGCCAAGATTGTGCCACTGCACTCAAGCCTGGGTGATAGAGAAAGACCATGTGTCAAAAAAAGAATTGTGTAATGAATGTATCTTCTCTAACTAAATATAGCAGTTAACATTTGCCACATTTGGTCTCTTATCTATATACACACATATTTGTACATCTTTTGAATCACTTTAAGTTGTAATCATTTAATGTTTTGTTGTTGTTGTTGTTTGAGACAGAGTCTTCCTCTGTCACCAGCTGGAGTGCAGTGGCATGATCTTGGCTCACTGTGACCTCTGCCTCCCGGGTTCAAGCCATTCTCCTGGCTCAGCCTCCCAAGTAGCTGGGATTACAGGCGCCCACCACCATGCCCAGCTAGTTTTTGTATTTGCAGTAGAGACGGGATTACACCATGTTGGCCAGGATGGTCTCGAGCTCCTGACCTCGTGATCCGCCCGCTTTGGCATCCCAAAGTGCTGGGATTATAGGCGTGAGCCACCACGCCTAAGTAAGTTGTAAACATAAGTTGTTCAGCCGCATCTCCCAAAGCCAGTAAATTCTCCTATATAGCTGCAATCATCACACTTTAAGACAGTGAACACTAATTGCACAAAATCTAACCCAGTTCATGTTCAGATTTCCCCTGAGGAACTCCAGGATGGTTCAGGGATGAGGAAGATACTTAGGTTCAGATTCCCAGGCTCCTAGAGCATCAGCCCACCCCTCCAACTGTACAGAAGAGACAGATCCACAGAGCAGAACAGCCTCCCCAAGCCACAGAGTTGGTGACCCAGCGTTTGTTCCTGTCTTCATGGTGCCTGGCTGCCTCTGGCCTGACTCACACCTGCCTCCTCTGTGCCTTGGCCTCTCTGTAGTGGTCTCCTTGCGCCAGATTCAGCGCAGAGCCGCCCAGGAAAAGGAGCGGAGCCAGGAACTCAGGCGTCTGCAGGAGGAGGCCCGGAAGGAGGAGGGGCAGCGACTGGCCCGGCGCTTGCAGGAGCTAGAGAGGGATAAGAACCTCATGCTGGTAGGAGACAGGAGGGCAGACAGGCAGACACTAGGGCCCATCCTGGGCTGGTTCCTGGGCTAGAGGTGTGGAAAGAGGATGGTGAGGGAGGCTCTATCCGGGCTAGGTTTAACCCTCTCCTTCCCAGGCCACCTTGCAGCAGGAAGGTCTCCTCTCCCGTTACAAGCAGCAGCGACTGTTGACAGTTCTTCCTTCCCTACTGGATAAGAAGAAATCTGTGGTGTCCAGCCCCAGGCCTCCAGAGTGTTCAGCATCTGCACCTGTAGCAGCAGCAGTGCCCACCAGGGAGTCCATAAAAGGTCTTGGGCCAAGCACAAAGGGACAAGGGACAAATGCGCGCACTTCAGGAATCTCCTCTTCAGACTCTGGCATGATGAGTGTTGTTCTCTGCGGTCCTTCGAGGCCCTTAGCCTCTTTTAGCGATGCCCAGCTTGGACCAAAGAGCCTCCTCTCTCCCATTCCTCATTTCCTGTGCCAGCCCTGTTTCCTCTGTAACCACGAGCACCTTCCCTTGTCTGGTGCTCATCTGCTGTCTTCCTTCCCAGGGTCCCTCTCTGTCCTGCTCGATGACCTGCAGGACCTGAGTGAAGCCATTTCCAAAGAGGAAGCTGTTTGTCAAGGAGACAACCTTGACAGATGCTCCAGCTCCAATCCCCAGATGAGCAGCTAAGCAGCTGACAGTTGGAGGGAAAGCCAGCCTGGGGGCTGGGAGGATCCTGGAGAAGTGGGTGGGGACAGACCAGCCCTTCCCCATCCTGGGGTTGCCCTGGGGGATACCAGCTGAGTCTGAATTCTGCTCTAAATAAAGACGACTACAGAAGGAGCCATTGTTTGGAAATGTTATTTCTGGGAATCTGTGGGAATTCTCCCTGCAGCCATCTCTCTTGGAGATTGTGAGAAGTGGTCCCACCCATAGCTCTCTCTATGGGTGGCACCTTTTCAAATCCTTTTTCTAGGCAGCTTTGGAAATGTTTGGGAAGCTCCTGCTTTTCTTTATTCTCAACTTTTGTTTTAAAACTCTTTTCTTCTGGAAGATGATAAATGCTAGGAGTGGGGAAGATGAAACATTCACTCGTTCAACAGGAATGTCAGAGCCAGGCACTGTATTAGCCTGGGGGCCACTTGGACCCTGAGAGCCTACATCCTAGTGGGAGAGCGAGCGAGCAGATGGGACCTAAACAGATGAACGAGATCGTTTCAAATAAGTGCTTGAAGAGAAAGTACAGTACGATGATATGATAGAAACTGACTCTGGGGAGAGGCCTCTGAGCAGGGGACCTTGTGCAGAGGCCTGCCTGAAGTGGGCTCCTGTGGAGGCCAGGAGGTCTCTGTAGAGAATGCTCAAGGATGCTGCTGCGAGGCCGAGATGTGGCCAAGTTTGGATTTTACTGTAAGTCAATAGAAAGCCATTGGAGTACTTCTTTAAAAACGGGGAAGAAAGCCAGGTGTGGTGGCTCACGCCTGTAATCCTGACACTTTGGGAGGCTGAGGCACGCGGATCACCTGAGCTCAGGAGTTTGAGACCAGCCTGGGCAACATGGTGAAACTTCGTCTCTACTAAAATACAAAAAATTAGCCAGGTGTGGTGGTGTGAGCCTGTAGTCCCAGCTACTCAGGAGGCTGACACAGGAGAATTGCTTGGACACGGGAGGTGGAGGTTGCAGTGAGCCGTGATCATGCCACTGCACTCCAGCCTGGGTGACAGAGCGAGACTCAGCCTCAAAAAAAGAAGAAGAATTAAAAAAAAAAAAAAAAACAGGGAAGGGGGCCCGGTGTTGTGGCTCCCGCCTGTAATCCCAGCACTTTTTTTTTTTGAGACAGTTTTGCTCTTGTTGCCAGGCTGGAGTGCAGTGGCACAATCTCAGCTCACTGCAACCTCCACCTCCCAGGTTCAAGCAATTCTCCTGCCTCAGCCTCCGGAGTAGCTGAATCCCAGCACTTTTTTGGGAGGCCGAGGTGAGCGGATCGCTTGAGCCCAGGAGTTTGAGACCAGCCAACATAGGGAGACTCCATCTATATAAAAAATAAAAATAAAAAACATTGGAGGGCATGGTGGCGTGCACCCATGGTCCTAGTTACTCCAGAGGCTGAGTTGGGAGGATTGTTTGAGCCCAAGAGGTTGAGGCTGCAATGAGCTGTGATCGCACCACTGCACCCCAGCCTAAGAGAGCGAGAACCTGTCCTCACTCCCCAAACAAAGGGAAGACGCAACATGATTTGGTGTACATTTTTTTTCCTGAGGGACTTACTGGATGGTCCCTTCCAGAGTGAGGTACACATATCCACGCACTGTGGTCAGCGATTGCTCCCGGCACCCAGCGCAGCAGATGGGTGGGTCTAACCAGGTCACTTCCCCAGGAGGGCATAATTGAGCAGTTTCCGCATCAGGTCCACGTGGGCCAGCAGCATGCGGCAGGCAGCGGCTGTGGTGCTTCAGGCCCAGGGCGTCCCCATCAGCGTACTTGGACTGCAGCAGCCCCAGGTAGGCCTCCCACGTGTTGCCCACAGTCTTGCTGCAGGTGAAGCAGCGCACACAACTCCTGAGCTCAAGTGGTCCTCCTGTGTCAGCTTCCCAAAGTGCTGGCATGAGCCACTACGCCTGGCCTGATATATATATATATGTTTTTTTTTTTTGAGACGGAATTTCACTCGTTGCCCAGGCTGGAGTGCAATGGTGTGATCTCAGCTCACCACAACCTCTGCCTCCTGGGTTCAAGCGATTCTCCTGCCTCAGCCTCTTGAGTAGCTGGGATTACAGGCATGTGCCACCATGTCCGGCTAATATTTTTGTATTTTTAGTAGAGACGGGGTTTCTCCATGTTGGTCAGGCTGGTCTTGAACTCCCGACCTCAGGTGATCTGCCCGCTTCGGCCTCCCAAAGTGCTGGGATTACAGGCGCGAGCCACCACACCAGGCCCGCGTGATGTATATTTTAAGACCTCTTTTGCTGGTGGAGGACAGGCTTTGTGTGAGGGGGAGGGATAAACAGTGGGAGCAAGGGGGCCAATTAGAAGGGTGTTGGGGAGGCTCAGGGGAGATGGTGGCTCAGGATGATGGGCTGGGTTTGGACAGGGTGTGGAGGGGCTTGCAGGTGGATGGTGGAGGAGTGTAACGAAGGTTTCTGCGTGAGCCCTGGAGGGAACAGATGAGATCACGCCATTGCATAATAAGGTGTTCCTTACTGTGGGGTAGCGGACCAGGCAGGGAACAACCTGGGAGGAATCAAATTTTATTTTGGACATGTTACTTCTGAAAGGCTAACAGACTTCCAGGCAGAAAGGTCCTTGAGGGAAACATTCTAGGGGTCTCTCTGGGAGGCTTAGATCAAGGAGCTGAGACCAAAAGGAGAATGGGAGGGAGGAGACGAGTACAATAGAGTTGGAGCCAAGGTCCTAGAGGCGGATAGGTGGATTCCTGAGGGAGGAGGAAGGGGCTGAGGTTGCTGGAGCCTGGCAGCTTCTTCCGGAGCCATTGGCAGGACTGATGCAAACAGCTCTGGGTGGGAAGAGGGAACCAGGATATCCTCCTGTGTCCTTCCTTTTCTGCAGTCATCCTGGGTGGCTGCCAGATGGAATTCCTTGGATATCATTGCTTGGAGGTCCCCTGCATGCCTGAAGAAGGACATGGTGGAGAGCAGGATGCCTGGATCCCATGGGGGAAGGGAAGTGCCCAGGAAAGCACGAAGCCCCAGGGGGAGCTTTCAGTGCGGGGGTGAGTGGGGAGGCTGGGGTAGTAGCTGACACTGTCCCAGCTGCATCCCAGGTTTGAAAGGCACCTCCTCCCCCAGCGCAGGCATCCTGCCTCCCAACCCTGTAATTACGGTGCTTCCCAACGCCCATCGTGTGGTTTGCTCCCATTCTTTGGCTTCCAATAGTTGCAAGGGATGAAGGTGGACATCTCTGTGATTACGGAGATGCCAAGTGGGTATTGACTGCTCCAGGGTGTGGATGGAGGGTGTGAAAACCAGGGTGGGGTGACGCAGGCTCTGGGTCATGATAGGGAGAGCAGGCAGCTGGGTCCTGGGCTGGAGGACTAAAATAAGGGACGCCACCTTCAGGGGTGACACATCAGCCCAGGCCTTCCCAACGGGTTTGACCAGTTCTGTTCTGATGGTATTCCTGTGCCACTGGGCTGGTCCCTCCTCCACTCCTCCCCTATAAAGCCTCTTGGGGTTCCCAGGCACCCAGACTCAGCCCACCCCAGCTTTGGGGGCCAGTACATAGCCATGATCCTCAACTGGAAGCTCCTGGGGATCCTGGTCCTTTGCCTGCACACCAGAGGTGAGGTGGGAACAGAGGCAGGGACTGCAGTTTGGGGTGATGAGGGATACTCAAGATGGCGGAGGTGAACTGGACGCATGGGGTTGGGGACAGGAATTCAGGGGACGCAGAAGGTGCATCTGGCTCACCAGAAATGGCTTTCTGGACACATTGGGTGGGGGACATGGTGCAGAAGGTGCATTTGGCTCTCACCAGAAATGGTTTGCTGGCTCCATGTGGCAAAGTCGGTCAGGATTAACGTGGGGGGGACGAGTTTCCTCGGAGCTGGGATCTGTGTTAAGGAGCTGGGGTCCTTGTAAAGCTGGGGTCTGTGTGCCTGGGGGCCAAGGTGTAACCCACCTTGGGTTGCAGGTTGGCCTGAGGACAAAGCTAGTGGGGTACCCCAACCAGGGGTGGATGGAGCTTATTTGGAGAAGTCTGGTCAGTTTAAAGTGGGTCAAGTGAACGGTTCAGATCCATCGGGGGTAGGGGTTCATGACATTTTACCATCAGTTAAGTATTTACAAACCTACCGAGAGCTCTTTGAGAGTGACTTTTTTGGTCTGTTTGTGGGTCAGTTCAGGCTGCGTCCGTCCAGACAGGCTCCTCCTCCTGGGGCTGGGGCTGGGTGGGGCTGGGGAGAGAAGCCCTCACCACCTCTTACCTTTCTCCTTCCTCCTTTACAGGCATCTCAGGCAGCGAGGGCCACCCCTCTCACCCACCCGCAGAGGACCGAGAGGAGGCAGGCTCCCCAACATTGCCTCAGGGCCCCCCAGTCCCCGGTGACCCTTGGCCAGGGGCACCCCCTCTCTTTGAAGATCCTCCGCCTACCCGCCCCAGTCGTCCCTGGAGAGACCTGCCTGAAACTGGAGTCTGGCCCCCTGAACCGCCTAGAACGGATCCTCCTCAACCTCCCCGGCCTGACGACCCTTGGCCGGCAGGACCCCAGCCCCCAGAAAACCCCTGGCCTCCTGCCCCTGAGGTGGACAACCGACCTCAGGAGGAGCCAGACCTAGACCCACCCCGGGAAGAGTACAGATAATGGAGTCCCCTCAGCCGTTCTGTTCCCAGGCATCTCCAGGCACCCACGCCCTCTCCACCCTCTGATTCCCCGTGAATTCTTCCCAATTTAGCCTATCTCCTTAAACCTCTTCCTCATTCCCTCGGTTTTATTCTGAACCCGTAAGGTGGTGTTCTCAATATTTCCTGTCCCCTCCTGAGATCCATACTTAGTCCTCACATCGCCCGTTTTTTCCTCTGACAGCCTAAGCCTACTCTCCTACCTCGCCTCCAGGCCTCGGCCCCACCTACCTCCCACCCGGTCTTCCTGCCCGCGCGATCGCTGGGGCAGGGCTACGGTACTGTGTTCCCTTCTGCCACCTGGTGGCCGGCGGCAGGAACTATCAGTAGACAGCTGCTGCTTCCATGAAACGGAAAAATAAAAATCATGTTTTCTTAACTCTGAATCTAGGCTGCTGCTTTAACTAACACTTAGGGTCTTTTTCATTTATTTTTATTTATTTGTTTTTTTCTTTTTTTGAGACGAAGTCTCGCTCTGTCGCCCAGGCTGGAGTACAGTGGCACGATCTCGGCTCACTGCAAGCTCCGCCTCCCGGGTTCACGCTATTCTGCCTCAGCCTCCCGAGTAGCTGGGACTACAGGCGCCCGCCACCACGCCAGGCTAATTTTTTGTATTTTTTAGTAGAGGCGGGGTTTCACCGTGTTAGCCAGAGTGGTCTCGATCTCCTGACCTCGTGATCTGCCCGCCTGGGCCTCCCAAAGTGCTGGGATTACACGCGTGAGCCACAGCGCCCGGCTTCTTTCTTCTTTTTCTTTCTTTTTTTTTTAGATGGAGTCTCACTCTATGCCCAGGCTGGAGTGCAATGGCACGATCTCGGCTCACTGCAACCTCCGGCTCCCGGGTTCAAGCCATTCTCCTGCCTCAGCCTTCTGAGTAGCTGGGATTACAGGTGCGCACCACCATGCCCGGCTAATTTTTGTATTTTAGTAGAGATGGGGTTTCACCATGTTGGCCAGGCTGGTCTCGAACTCCTGACATCGTGATCTCCCCGCCTCGGCCTCCCAAAGGGCTGGGATTACAGGCGTGAGCCACCGTGCCCGGCCAACACTTATGTTTTTGACTATTAGGATGCCCTCTTCACAGTCCTAAACTTACGGAGACCTGGAAGTAACTTGAGTTCCTATCTTGCCCATGTCCAGCATGTAAGGCTCTGGGGCTTAGCAGGAGGAGGGTTGGAAATGTCACTATGCAAGTCACAATAACATTCAGGCCCACATTTCTCCCTTTCTGAGAACACTATATTAAAGAATGGGAAGGCAAGTTTCATCTCTGTTTAATGGCCTATGGCTTGGATACCCCTAGTGGTATATGCAAACCTTCCCAGGGGTGTGTCGGCAGGACCAGTTTTAAGGGAATCAGTTTCCAGATTAATATGTGCCCCCCGCTAGAATGAATCTCCTGCTTGTCCTGGGCCTGACCAGAGTGCCCTTCCCAGAGCCGCCAAAGGTCAATAGGAAACAAATCAACCTTTCCCATCTCATTAAGAGATTCATTTTCTTTCTTTTCTTTTTTTTTTTTTTTTGAGACGTATTATCTCTCTGTCGCCCAGGCTGGAGTGCAGTGGCACGACAGATATCAGCTCACTGCAAGCTTCGCCTCCTGGATTCAAGTGATTCTCCTGCCTCAACCTCCCGAGTAGCTGGGATTACAGGTGTGTGCCACCACACCCAGATAAGTTTTCTATTTTTAGTAGAGATGGGATTTTGCCATGTTGGCCAGGCTGGTCTCGAATTCCTGATCTCATGGGATCTGCTTGCCTTGGCCTCCCAAAGTGCTAGGATTACAGGTGTAAACCACCACGCCTGGCCAAGAGATGCATTTTCAATAAGTTACTTTTCATGTCTTTTTGTGTGTTTGTTTGAGACAGGGTCTCCATCTGTCATCCAGGCTGGAGTGCAGTGGCACGATCATGGCTCGTATAGCTTCAACCTCCTGGGCTCAAGCAATCCTCCTATCTCAGCCTCTGGCGTAGCTGAGACTACAGGTGCACCACCCCTGACTAATTTTTTGTATTTGTTTAGTTTAGTTTTGTTTCGTTTTTAGAGATGGGGTTTTACCGTGTTGCCCGGGCTTGTCTCAAACTCCAGAGCTCAAGTGATCGGCCCATCTTGGCCTCCCAAAGTGCTGAGATTACAGGCACGAGCCACCGCGCCTGACCAACTTTTTATGTTTAATCCTTGTGAATATTCCTAGTTTTGGTTAACTGCAATAATTGCAATACAAATAGAATAACTGTTTCTAACACTTGTTCAAGGGCTTGTTCACGTATTTTTTAAAAGGATGCTAACAGATATGAAAGTTCTATGGCATTATATTCAATTTGCTACACTTAGAGTGACGTGCAGTCTCCGACAGACTGAGCACAACAAATTGTTTTTAATTTTAAAAACTGACATGGCCAGGCATGGTGGCTCACGACTGTAATCCCAGCATTTGGGAGGCTGAGGTAGGCAGATCACTTGAGGTCAGCAATTCAAGACCAGCCTGGACAATGGTGAAACTCTGTCTCTACTAAAAATACAAAAAACTTAGCTGGGCATCCCAGCTACTCGGGAAGCTAGGGCATGAGGATTGCTTGAACCTGGGAGGCAGAGGTTGCAGTGAGCCGAGATCGCACCACTGCACTCCAGCCTGGGAGACAGAGTGAGACTCCATCTCAAAAATAATAAATAAATAAATAAATACATAAATAGTGATGTGATTTTTAACATGTATTTGCAATTCCCTGAAAAGCCTACCCTTTGGAATGCTATTAAATTATTACAAATGTTAAATGTTGACTTAAAAATGTGCAAGGGGCTGGGCGAGGTGGCTCATGCCTGTAATACCAGCACTTCGGGAGGCCGAATCGGGTGGATTGCTTGTGGCCAGGAGTTTGAGACCAGCCTAGGCAACATGGCAAAACTGTCTCTACAGAAAATTTAAGAAATTAGCCAGATGTGGTGGCCCGCACCTGTAGTCCCAGCTACTCAGGAGGCTGAGGTGGGAAGATTGCTTGACCCTGGGAGGTTGAGGCTGTAGTGAGCCAAGATGGCACCACTGCACTCCAGTCTGGGCAACAGAGTGAGACCGTGTCTCAAAACAATACAAATGTGCAAGGGACATAGTTTTTCAAAATCCTTTAAAGAGGCAATCAGGTTAGAAGGACAGGAGCTCAGAGATCCCAATGGTCTACTGTCAATCAAGTATCCGACCAGGGTTAGGGATGAAGAGGGGTTAAAAGAAACTGAGGTTGCATAACCTTAAATTTCACCACTTAGAACCCAGTTTGCTTATGTGGTAACTCTCATTAAAAACTACATATGAGAGGCCGGGCGCGGTGGCTCACGCCTGTAATCCCAGCACTTCGGGAGGCCAAGGCGGGCGAATCACGAGGTCAGGAGATCGAGACCATCCTGGCTAACATGGTGAAACCCAGTCTCTACTAAAAAATACAAAAAAAATTAGCTGGGCATGGTGGCCGGCGCCTGTAGTCCCAGCTACTCGGGAGGCTGAGACAGGAGAATGGCGTGAACCTGGGAGGTGGAGCTTGCAGTGAGCCGAGATTGTGCCACTGCACTCCAGCCTGGGCGACAGAGCGAGACTCCATCTCAAAAAAACAAACAAATAAAAAACCAAAAAACTACACATGAGATCAGGCGTGGTGGCTCACACCTGTAATCCTAGCACTTTGGGAGGCTGAGGCGGGTGGATTACCTGAGGTCAGGAGTTCGAGACCAGCCTCACCAACATGGTGAATCCCTGTCTCTACTAAAAATACAAAAAAATTAGCTGGGCATGGTGGCGGGCGCCTGTAATCCCAGCTTCTCAGGAGGCTGAGGCAGGAGAATCCATTGAACCTGGGAGGCAGAGGTTGCGGTGAGCCAAGATCGTGCCACTGCACTGCAGCCTGGGCGACAGAGCAAGACCCCGTCTCAGAAAACAAAAAACAAAAAAAAACTACATGTGGTCCGAATGAAACAAAACTAAGCTTAGGGTTTAGGAATAATCTGAGAACACATAAGAATTGTAGGTTGAGCCTAGTAGAATTAAATAGGCCCCAAGCTGGACTGGATTCACCCATTCATTCATTCATTATCTTACTTCCTCAATGTGTCCACGAATGCCGGGTGCCATGGGAGAATATAAGAATATAAATAATAAAAATATGTAGTTTCTACTCAGAACTTAAAATTGAGAGAGACAGAATTTACAGGCAAGTTTAAATAACATCAAAGACAGTAAAAATGCATATTTCCTAATAATGACATGAGCGAGCGCCAATGTAATAGCCTTGGCAGTAAACGCCGTGAGTTCAGAAGAGTCACGGTGAGCTGGACTAGTCAGGGGAGGCTTCTGGGAGGAGGGCCCGGAGCGGGACCTGAGAGAAGAACAGGCAGTGTGTCTGGAGGATGGACCAGGAAGGGCAGACCCGGAGCCTCATACAGGGTGCAGGTACAGAAGCTGCCCCCAGGTGATGAGCTCTCGTGGCCAGAACCACCAGCTCTAGGGACCAGCCCTTGCGCGTATGTGCATCAGCCTTCGTGTGTGCTGTTCCCTATGTCTGGAATGGCCGTCCTCTCCCAAACCAGCTGCATTTCTCCTCAGGGATGCCTCTGCCTACACCACTCCTTCCCGCACCCCACCCGACCCCCAACGCCCTTCACCCCAGTCACCCTATGGCAATGATTTATTCATGTCTGTCTTCCCTTCCCAGGCCATGAACCTTGTGGGGCAGGGACTGTGTTCTACGCATTTCTTCTTGAACCCCTTTACCATTTTTGTGCCTACGGACTCCCAGAGTGCTAAATCACTCCCAACAGCCCCGCCTATGCCTCTGCCGGGACCTTTTCCAGGGGCAGAGAGCTGGAAGCACTTGGAAATTTTTCTCTCCCACATCCTCACATGCCACCACCCTCCCACTCCCCCAGCCCGCCCCCAGGCCTTAACCAACGGTGGACAAATATGAAGGTGTCAGTACCCCAGCCCTCCATGAGACTTAGCTTGGTTCCACTCATGTGCTTGGGTCCCACTTTCCCACTCCCTTTCCACTCCTCCCCACCCTCATTACTTTTTTTTTTTTTTAAGACAGGGTCTCACTCTGTCACCCAGGCTAAAGTGCAGTGGCACAATCATAACTCATTGCAGTCTCAACCTCCTGGGCTCAAGTGGTCCTCCTGCCTCAGCCTTCTGAGTAGCTGGTACTATAGATGCACTCCACTCACTGGGCTAATTTTTTAATTTCTTGCAGAAATGATGTCTTGCCATGTTGCCCAGGCTGGTCTGGAACTCCTGGACTCAAGCAATCTTCCTGCCTTGGCCTCCCAAAGCACTGGGATTACAGGTGTGAGCCATCATGCCCAGTCCCCTCATTACTTTTATTTATTTATTTATTTATTTATTCAATTTTTGAGACGGAGTCTCCCTCTCGTTGCCCAGACTGGAATGCAGTGGTGTGATCTCAGCCCACTGCAATCTCCGCCTCCTGAGTTCAAGCGATTCTCCTGCCTCTGCTTCCTGAGTAGCTGGGATTACAGGCATGCGCCACTATGCCCAGCTAATTTTTGTATTTTTAGTAGAAACAGGGTTTCACCATGTTGGCCAGGCTGGTCTCAAACTCCTGACCTCAGGTGATCTGCCCGCCTTGGCCTCCCAAAGTGTCGAGATTACAGGCATGAGCCACTGTGCCTGGCCTATTTATTTTTGAGACAGTTCTCACTCTGTTGCCCAGGCTGGAGTACAGTGGCACGATCACAGCTCACTGAAGCCTGGACCTAAGCGATCCTCCCACCTAAGCCTCCCAAGTAGCTGGATCACAGGCGCATGCCACCACGTCTGGCTAATTTTTTTTGTAGAGATTGGGTCTTACTATATTGCCCAACCTGGTCTCAAACTCCTGAGCTCAAGAAACCCTCCTGCCTCCGCCTCTCAAAGTGTTGGGATTATAGGCGTGAGCCACCCTGCCCAACTTCTCATTAGTTTTAAATAAATCTCTTTTACTTGAATCTTTGTCTCAGGGCCTGCTTCTGGGGAATCCAACCTAGGATGCAAAGTATTTGCTACACACTATTGCAACTACTTTCTACTGCGCATGTGCCATAGGGCACTGTTGGTAAATGCTCTACAGCTTAAGCTCTCGTTTAATTTGCATAACAATGCTATCATGATCATTTCACAGAAGACAGAAACAGGCCTAGAGAGGTACAGTGACCCATGCAAGGTCACACAGGGGACAAATGGCAGAACTGGGATTTCAATTTAGGTCTGTGCTATGCTAACAACACTGATTTTAACCACTACATCATCCCAGCTCTTTTTTTTTTTTTTTTTTTTTTTTGAGACGGAGTCTTGCTCTTTTCACCCAGGCTAGAGTGCAATGGCACGATCTTGGCTCACTGCAACCTCCGCCTCCTGGGTTAAAGCAATTCTCCTGCCTCAGCCTCCCACATGGCTGGGATTACAGGCACCCGCCACCATACCTGGCTAATTTTTGTAGTTTTTTTTTAGTAGACACGGGGTTTCACCATGTTGGCCAGGCTGGTCTTGAACTCCCGACCTCGTGATCCACCAGCCTTGGCTTCCCAAAGTGCTGGGATTACAAGCATAAGCCACCGCGCCTGGCCCATCCCAGCTCTTTATTCATCTGTGTAACCCTGACAGAGAATACAGTGCCTGGGCCGTCATGCACACTTAATGTGTGTTTTGTGAAAGGCTAAATTATTTAATGAAGGGCCCAATTAACAAAGAGTAGATCGGAATGATTGGAGTAAAATAACCCGAAGAAGAGAGAGACATGTTGGAGAGACAGGTCGGGGGAAAATTAGGGAAGATCTTGGTGCCAAGTGCAGGAGCTCATATCTGAAAGTCTCTCTCCTCTATTAGAACTGTGCCTGGGCCTGGGCAACATAACAAGACCCTGTCTCTGAACAAACAAAATAAGTTAGCTGAACATGGTAGGGCGCACCTGTAATCCCAGCTATTCCAGAGGCTGAGGTGGAAGATTGCTTGAGCTCAGGAGGTCAAAGCCAGCCTGGGCAACACAGCAAGACCCCATCTCTAAAAAAAAAAAAAATTAAAATTAAAAAAGGGCCAGGCACAGTGGCTCACACCTGTAATCCTAGCACTTTGGGAGGCCAAGGCAGGAGGATCGCTTGAGCTCAGGAGTTTGATACCAGTGTGGGCAACATAGTGTGACCTCACCTCTACAAAAAAAATGTTTAACATTTGGCCAGGTTGCCAGGCGCAGTGGCTCACGCTTGTAATCCCAGCACTTTGGGAGGCCGAGGTGGGCGGATCGCGAGGTCAGGAGATCGAGACCACGGTGAAACCCCGTCTCTACTAAAAATACAAAAAAAATTAGCCGGGAGAGGTGGCGGGCGCCTGTAGTCCCAGCTACTCGGGAGGCTGAGGTAGGAGAATGGCGTGAACCCGGGAGGCGGACGTTGCAGTGAGCCGAGGTCGCACCACTGCACTCCAGCCTGGACGACAGAGTGAGACTCCATCTCAAAAAAAAAAACAAACAATTAGCCAGGCCATGGTAGTGCATGCCTGTAGTCCCAGCTACTCAGCAGGAAGATCACCTGAGCATGAGAGGTTGAAGCTGGAGTGAGATATGATTGCACCACTGCACTCCAGCTTGGATGACAGAGCTGTCTCAGAAAAAAAAAAAAAATTGTGCCTAGGGTGGGGAGAAACACATACATCTCTGGGTATACTGTGGCAGGAAGCTAAGGATAGAAAGGAAGAAGGAGGTCTGGACCCCTCAAACTGACCCTCAAGCCAATAACGTGGAATTAGTTAGGAGGAAAAAAAATTAATTAATTAATTATTTTTTTATTTTTTGAGACAGGTTCTTGCTCTGTCGCCCAGGCTG
The DNA here is from genome assembly GCF_000001405.40 of Homo sapiens. Classification (NCBI taxonomy): domain Eukaryota; kingdom Metazoa; phylum Chordata; class Mammalia; order Primates; family Hominidae; genus Homo; species Homo sapiens. The sequence continues at coordinate 2,440,584 of NT_167246.2, read as the reverse complement.
GACAGTGCAGAGGTGCAGTTACAGCTCACTGCAGCCTTGACCTCCTGGGCTCAAGGGATCCTCCTACCACAGCGTCCTGAGTAGCTGGGACCACAGGCATGTGCCACCATGTCCAGCTAAGAGAAATTCTTAAAGAAGAGAGAAAGGAGGGAAAGGAACTGAGCCCCTGATGTTGTCTAGGGAAAAAGCTGGGGCTCTTTACAGCATGCTGCCTTCTTTAATTCCACAGCACTATGTGGGTTTCCATGCCTTTATTTCCTTGGAAAGTATGAGCTTCTTGAAGACAGCAACTGTGCCTTGTCTTTCTTTGTATCCCTTCCTTCTCTCCTAGTACCCAGCCTAGAAGGCACTCAATAAAGCAAATGATTAGCCCCATTTCACAGACGAGGAACCAACACTGAGAGAGGTAACTCACCTGTGCAAGTCATATCACAAGTGCCAAAGTCAAGACTGGATGGAGGACTGCCTGGCTGCAAACCAATTCTTCCCAGGCTGACATGGCAGGTAGGTGAGTGGGAAAGAGAAGGGGGAGGCATAAGGCAATTGGAGATTTTAGTACCTATTAATAGGCAGTGGATTTTGGCACTCAAACAGGCTGTCTTCATTAGCTGGGGAGGAGACTGAGTGGGCCTGGATGGTATGGAGGTATTTGCACAGGGAAACCCATTGTGCTGGCTTATCCATTCAGATTAGACAATGCTGGTTCCTCTCTACCTGCCTTGGCTAAGCTCACCTAGGAGTAAATGCCCCAGGGACACCGTCACGTCTATGTCAACACAGAGTCACGGAATTAAATAACAGAATAGGATCACAGATTTACAGAACAATAGCCCAGAACCTTGGACATGACAGATAGTTATTAAATGCTTGGCCAATGAAAAAAAAAGAACCTAGAACTAGTATCACGGTAAAATCTAATTATACAAGCTAAGTTACCTTGAGAAAGCACCAGGCACAGCCCTGAGCCTTGGGCAGCGAATGATGTCTTTGGACTAGACAGAAGAGATGGTTGTCTGCCCTGCTTTGAAGCTCTCTGGCCAGGGAAACTCCAAACCATTCATTTGTTCATCCATTTGCCCACACAATCAACATTCATTGAGCATCTGCTCTGTGGGGTGCTATGTGATGGTGACAGTCCCAGGAAGCAGTTTCAGTCCTCCCTGCCCTCAAGGGGCTCTGTGTTTAGGGAGGACAAACATATACATCATGACAATAAAATTTGATAAAAAGTTAAATTAGAGAGGGGGCAAACCCTGACGTAGGAGCCCAGGAGGGACTCCTAACTTCTCTGCCAATTTCATGTTTCAAAATTATTAGACCCAAGACTCGCTTTGGTATAAACTTAAGCTCTCTTACTGTACATTTTTCTTCTCCTGCTAATCTTTAATTAAGTGCCCACCAGGTGCCTGGCACTGAATCAAAACTCAAAAAACTTGCTGAATTAAGCCAAATGCACCTCCTGTGGGTTTTTCCCCCTAATATCCTCAGAGGCAGTAATCAATTCCCTCCCCAAATTCCCCAGTCCCCACCCCATCCCCACCTTTCCTTTTGCAGTATAATCTCAACTCCTGTGATGGGGGCAGGCAGGATAGCATGGTAGTGAGATCAACAGACTGTGACTTGGGTTCTTGTCGCTACTTAGCCATTCATTCTGTATGTGACCTTGGGATGGGACTTTAGGGGGATTTCTTTAATAACCTCTAAACTCCCGTGCAATGCTGAGAGCCAAGGTAGCGGCTCTCAGGTCTTGTTCCAAGAACTGCCACCAGAGGGCAGCCTAGAGACTCCTCTCAGGTGTTTTCCTCCAGAGCCTTTGCTCTTTCCCTCACTAATGTCATCCACTCCCTGGGTCCACCATCAAGGCACACAGGTGTCCCTTTAGCCGTCAAGGTGACCGTTCTAAGGTGAGCCAGGCATGTGAGGCGAGGCGAGACAGGCTCTGAAGCCCTCAGGAAAATTCAGGCACAGGCTGCTTGTCCAAGTGGACCTCACGATCATCATTTACACATTCTCTCCCTGATTATTTCATGAGCCAGCGGTCTACAGGAGAGGATACCACAGCCAGTCAAAGGGATCAGGGCCCTGCCCTCAGGGAGCTGCCTTCCAGTGAGGGAGGAGAGAGATACACAGATGCTTACAAGGTATCTGTAGTAGGATGTCACCTAGTGATGAATGGTGTGACGCAGCTTAGGCAGAGCGAGGAAATAGGGATGGTCCCAAACGTGTGTGTGTATGTGTGTTTTTTTGAGACAGAGTTTCGCTCTTGTCGCCCAGGCTGGAGTGCAGTGGTGCGATCTCAGCTCACTGCAACCTCTACCTCCCGGGTTCAAGTGATTCTCCTGTCTCAGCCTCCCGGGTAGCTGGGATTACAAGTGTTCACCACCACACCCGGCTAATTTTTGTATTTTTAGTAGAGATGGGGTTTCATCATGTTGGCCAGGCTGGGCTACGAGCGAAACTCCATCTCAAAATAATAATAATAATAATAATAATAATAATAATAATAATAATTCCTGTCTCCTAGGGTCATTGAGAGAATGGAGATCAGTCCTGCACGGGCAGACCTCGGCACCGAGCTGAATGTTACACACTGCCAAGGAGTCGGCGCCGGTCTCTGGTGAAGATGTTCTAGTCCCAGGGCCCAAGAGAACAGAGCGGGACACGAGATGCCTCTCTAACAGGAGTCTGTGTTTCCTGGTCACCTCTGTGTGCTGGGTGATGCCTCAGGTGCCAGGGAGACACTGGGCAGTAGGAGAAGCTCCCTCCTGTGAGGACTCTCACCCAGAGGCACTCAGACAGCCCAGAACACAGGAGGGAAGATGGGCCACCACAGTCCCATTCCTAGGCGCTCCAAGGGCCAGCCCAGCCTAGAAGTCCCTCCTGGTACAAGTCTTTCCGGCCTCTCCTCTCCCGAGAGCACGTTCAGACTGCACCCTGGCGCTCTCTTTCACCCTGTCGAGGAAGCTGTGACTCTAATTCTGGGTGACCAGTAACAATAAAAACCACTAATAGCCCTAGTGGAAAGAATGACTATTTAACAGGTGCACATAATGAGCAGACAAGGAGAGCTCTTTTCCCTCACACTCACTCCGCAGGACAGAGAGGGGAACAGTCTTGCTACTGTGACAGCTAATCACAGCCTCTGTGTGCCTCCCTCCTCGCAAGATAAGAGGGGTGGCCTCAGGGTGTGACGGAAACAGCCAGGAAGGCTTCGGCCAGGGAGCGACTGCCCTACAGCTGACTCCCTGCTGCTTTTGGGAAGTGGGGGTGAAGGGAAAAGACTCAGGGGAGCGGGGGGAAGAAAGCTTGGTGGGCAGAACCCCACTTGCCAAATTCCTCCTCTTTCAGGATTCAGTGGCCAAAGGTGAGCCTGGCTCTGGCCCCAGTCTTCACTCCCAAGTGCCGGCTGCAGTGCCCTGGGCCCGTCGGAGGCTGGCAGGGCTGCTGGGAGGGTGAGGACAGGCATGGGAAGAGTGGAAAGTGGGGGCTGACCCAGCCAAGCTCCAGGAGGCCATTCCATAGAGGAGAGAGCCATTGGACCAGGAGCCAAGCAGGGAAGAAGGAAGGAAAGGTAGAGCCGAGCACCGCCCACACCAGGAATAATCTCAGGAAGAGGATGGTGTGGACAGGCCCCAGGACAGGGCTTCTCAGCTAGGGGCAACTCGTTATGCTGCAGTGGGGGCACCTAACAGAACCCCCTAGGGTTTTTTTAAAGTATACAGCACGGTCCTGCCCACCACTGGCATCAGATGAATGCCATGTCCAGGGGAAACCCCAGTACGTCCTCATCACAGCCATGTGAACACTGCTGTTTGTTCATAAAAATGTGTTGCATCCCTAGGGGGAAATAAAAGGAGCTAATCCAATAGAGAGAAGAGTGGCTCAGGGGAGACAGTCACCCGCGAGGAATGAGGGCAGGACACACAGGCCCAGGCCGAGATTGCACAGGGTGTTGCATGAGTGGCTGTGTCAGAGCCAAGTGCACATGCCCACTGCCACCTCCGCCAAGGCCATCAGTGAATCCCTCCAGCACCTACAGGGGCTTTGCACATAAGAGCTGTGCTTGCAGGGGGTGGGGGGTGGGCACAGGGCAGGAAACCAGAGAGGAGGGCACCATGTCCCTGAGTAAGGTAGAAAGGGGAAGCACAGCCTGGACACATTCTTCCATTCTTTTATTTCAAAATATCACCAAGTGCCTGCCACAGCTATGTGCTGGGAACTCAGTGAACGCACCTGTGCTTTGCCCACTGGCATGGAGCCCACGGTCCGGGGGTGATGGTTTCTGTTGCATTTCAAAGCCACTGGGGCGCTGCATAGATGGCTGGCTGCAGAGTCTATTTGAGACGAAGGCAAGAAGTCAGGGCCCATGGACTGTAGATTCCACCCTTGATCGTCTACTACAGGAAAGAAGCCACAGAAGTGAGGGGGTATTCCCAACAGGAAGGCAGAGAAGGAGAGATTAAAACTGAGTCAAGAAGTGTAGCCAGTCCCATGGGAGCACCTGGGCTGAGGAGGGTCAGTCCCCGCAGAGATGTTCGGAACACCTGATTGGGGATGTGCCCTCTCCTTCTATGTTCTTGGTCACCAGAGGAACCAGGTGAAGAGTGTGGATGACTCAGTCCACCCCTCCCCGCACAGGAAAAACAACTCAGAGGACATCCCCTACTGGGAGTGGGCCAGGAGCGCTGGCTTCCACGCCAAGGAGAGGAGGGTGTTGCTGTGGCTGCAGAGGTGAGTCCACAGGGAAGCGTGGGTGTCATGGAGAAAGAGAGAGGAGAGGAAATGGCCTCTCGCTGGAGCCAAGCAGAGAGGAACAAAGGAGGGGAGGAGCCCACAGGCCCTGGAGCCCCAGAGCAGCTCTGGGTGGCCCCTTTCCTTCTCTCCTCAGCACAAAATAAGCTGCTTTTCCAGGCTTTTTCTCTTCCTCGTGCTCACTCCATTTTCCTTCTTCCAAGCCTAAGCCCTGGTCTACCAAGGACCCCTATGTGAAACACTTGTGCTAGAACTTCTGTCCTGACTCTCAGGCCCCCAGAGGAGGAAAGCTGTGGAGGAGGGACCTCATGAGCCAGTAACCTTCACTTAGGAACTCTTCACTTTTTTTTTTTTGAGACGGAGTCTCACTCTGTCACCCAGGCTGGAGTGCAGTGGCATGAAATCGGCTCACTGCAGCCTCCGCCTCGCTGGTTCAAATGATTCTCCTGCCTCAGCCTCCTGAGTAGCTGGGATTACAGGTGCCTGCCCCCGCACCCGGCTAATTTTTGTATTTTTAGTAGAGATGGTTTTGCCATGTTGGCCAGGCTGGTCTCAAACTCCTGAGCTCAAGTGATCCACCTGCCTTGGCCTCCCAGAGTGCTGGGATTACAGGCGTGAGCCACCATACCTGGCCAGCTTTGACAGCAGAAATCTTCTCTCTAGAAATATTCATATACATAAGGAATTTTGCACACATCCTTACAGGGTTTAGGGAGCCTCTTAAGCCTGTCCATGAACCTCTGCCATTCATTTATAGCATGGTGTCAGCTGCAGAGTAATAGGATCTATGTGGGCCTGGAAGTCCAACAGGCCTGGGTTTGAATCTTTTTCAAACATTTTTGCTTGTTAGCAGCTGGTTTGGACAAATAATTTCAACTTAGTTTTCTCATCTGTGAAACAGGGGGAAAAAGCACTTACCCTGTAGGGCTGTTGTGAAGATTGAACAAGACAACTCATGTTAAATACCCAGGCACCGTGTCCGCCTGCAGCAGGCAGTCAGTACATGGTGGATCTCGTGCCCCAAGCCTCCTCTTTATGGAGTCCCTCAAGTTGCCCCAGCTGGCCTCGGATTCCTCCCACCTCCACCTCCTGGGTAGCTGGGACTACAGCACGCCATGCTTCAGCCCCCTTTGTGATCATTCAAAGCCGTTTGGTTCCCTGCACCCTCTCACATTTACTGCAATTCCTATAGAATCCAAATTCTTTTAACCTGGTGTTGTAGGTCATCTACAATCCCGATCCAAGCAGCCTGTCCCTTCTCCCACACCACTGTCCTCCACATGCATGTCCCACACCAACCCACGCCATCCGCTGGTTCTAAATACACCTGAAGCACCACAAGGCCCCACGTCTGGCTGCCTGCTCTGTGCTTCTCTCATCATTCCTCAAGGCCCGGGGAAAGTCCTGCCACCTCCCTGAAGCCAAGTGCCTACCCGCTTCTCCACTCTAGGCTGCTCTCTTACGCTGTGTGTCCCCAGCTGGATGGCAGCTCCTCAGGGCAAGGAACAATTTCTCTTCTTTCTCAGTGCAACTTCCAAAACACAGCAGAGGAGCGTGCACTGGGGGCAAAGGCTGGCACAGCAAACACAGCAGCACAGGGCTGCTGGAGGGGTGGAGGGGACCGGAGGGGACAGTGACCTGCCTGCTTCATAATACATGGCTGGGAGCCCCACCTTTTGCCTATGGAAGCCATGTGCTTTGAGCTTGATTTTCTCGGGTGTAGAGTGTCTACGCCACCCACACTTTCTCACCCGGTCCAATGCACGGGCACGGGCAGGGGCAGGGCCAGAATCTGTTGCTGTAGAACACAGCAGAGCTGCCTGCAGTACTGTGGACGTCACCAAACTGGCAGCTTCACTGAAGGTGACCCTGGCCTGTGTGGGCACTCAGCTGATGCCCTTCTCTTCCCTCCTAAGCCCCATTAGCTTTAGGTCTTCACCACCTGCACTGAGAGAAAGATTAATGGTGAGCACCAGAGTAAAATCTAGCACAGAAGGCAGGGTTTCAGTAAAAAACCAAAAGCATGGCAGATTAGAGCTCAAGGGCCCACAGGTGGGCAGGACAGTAGAGGAACTGGGCAGCCCAGGGTGGCAGGATGGGGTGGACAGGAGTGGACAGGAGAGAGTAGCCAGGAGGAGGGACGTGGCTGCACCACCAGTCCACGTGGGCGGCTGGAGACCTGGCAGGAGGCCAGGAGAGACTGTGCCTCCTCCAGCCTGGCTGTCTTGGCCAAGTTCTGATGGCAGCCAGGAGGACTGTGAGAAAGAAAACAAGACAAACTTTGCTACCTCTGGCTGGTCAGGGGAAGTTTGTGTTGGAAAAGAAGAAGCCACAGATTCCACTGTTCCGCTGCCTTCTCCCCTCACACCCTGGGACGGCCCAGCACCTTCTAGTCCACTCCTCCCTGCCCTCTGCCACTCCCCTCACTACCCCAGTGCCCCCTCCCTCCTTGCCCAGGTCCTCCAGGGAGCCAAGCCTGAGAGTCTAGGGAGGCCCACAAGAGGAAATGATGTTCGGAAAGAGCAGCATCACTTTATTTTTTGAGATGGAGTTTCCCTTTTGTCACCCAGGCTGGAGTGCAATGGTGCAATCTTGGCTCACTGCAACCTCTGCCTCCAGGGTTCAAGTGATTCTCCTGCCTCAGCCTCCCGAGTAGCAGGGATTACAGGCGCCCACCACCACGCCTGGCTAATTTTTTTGTATTTTTGGTAGAGACGGGGTTTCGCCATGTTGGCCAGGCTGATCTCGAACTCCTGGCCTCAAGTGATCCGCCCGCATCGGCCTCCCATAGTGCTGGGATTACAAGCGTGAGCCACCGTGCCCAGCCGAGCAGCATCACTTTAAATGGTATCTCTGTCTCACATTTGTGCCTGCACCTCTATACAAGGCAGGAAGGGAGCAGAAGACACTCTGCTAGCATTGGCTGGGCTGGAGACTCAGGAAAGGGAGCCTGGGGCTGTGGGGGTGAAGCTGGCCTATTTGTCTCCCCCAGTGGAAGGATGAAGACAGGAGCACCTGCAGGGCTCCATTTGCTGGGCTTCCTACTGGGGGACTGCACCCCTTGTCCCATTTAACCTTTTTGATAATTTCCCATTTGATGTTCACAAAAACCTTGCGAAATAAGTGTTATTTAAAATACCCCCATTTCACAGATGAGGAGATGGAAGTTCAGAAAGGTTTGAAGAGCCGCCCAAAGCCAAGAGGTTAGCTGGGACTTGAACCCACGTCATCTTCATTCTGAAGCCAGTGTTTTTTGTTTGTTTGTTTTTCCCAAGGCATTAGCCCCCTTCAGGGGACCCTGTCCTATCCCTTCCTCTCTCCACAGCTCCCTCAGCCCCTCTTTCCTCCCACTCCCATTCTGAGTGTCACTAGCAAGTCAAGAGCAAGACTAGATGGCAGCCACTAGCTGCACGTGGCCAACCACATCATTACAATTAATTAAAATTAAAGCTCCAAATCTTTGGTGGTTAAACTTGCTCCATGTGGCCAGTGGCTACCGTATCGGACAGCACAGACAGGAAACATTTCCATCCTCCTGCTGGTCTGAACTTAAAGGGCGGTCAGGAGGTAGAGGGAATGGGAGAGACCAGCCCAAGGGGCCCAGGGACAGAGCTGCCTTTGTGAGGAGATGAGGTTTGGGAAGTGAGTTTGGGTGAGGGGAGCAGGGGTGTCTGAGGCCTGGGGGAGGAGAGGGCAGCTTGCTGGACTTGCAGGCACCTCCCTCCGATACTGATACTCCCGCAATACTAGTGAGCAATTAATTGGCTGGGGCGGGGCAGGGGCCAGAGCAGGAGGGAGGCCAACGCAATGGAGGAGAAGCCACCACCCTCTCAGCAGATGGCAGGGCTCCGGTTCTCCTGGCCTCCTTTCATCCTTTGAGGACCCGGGAGCCTGCCTGGCCCTCCTCGACCTGCCCAGAGCTGGCTGCTGCTTCCTGCTCGCTCATCCAGCCCAGGGCCAGCAGATGGGCTACGGGGCCACCACCTTCCCAATTAGCCTTCTTAGCCTCTTGCTCACCCTTGAGGTCTGGGTTACCAGCCATGGGGAGGGGCTGTGAGTGGCCTGTGAGTAACCAAGGCCCAGCTTTGACAGAGGTCATCAGCCCAGGCCCCTCCCATGGCTGAGCCCTGGCTCCCAGCACCCCCCCCCACCCCCGCCACCATGCCGTCCCCAGAGGCCCCCAGAAGCGACAGGTCAGGGAGTTGGTTTTGGGAATGTGGTGCCCCATTTCTGAGAAGGAGAAGGTTCCCCAGGTGATGGAACACGTAATAGGTATGTGGCTGGCCTGGTACTTGGGGAGTGGTGGGAGGGGGAGCCTGGGGGATGGGGGCAGAACTCATATTTGAAGGAGGAAAGTGGAGGTGGAGTGATGGGGTCCTAAGGAAGGAGCAGATCAGGGGCTGTGAATGGGACCTCATTGGGGTTGGGTGGGTGGGGCTGGAGCGGGCACCCAAGTGTGGAAGAAAAAGCTGAAACACCCACGACTGCGAGTGGAGGGCAGATGGAGAGACAGGCCAAGCCACGGTAGGCAGGAGAGTTAAGGAGCCAGGCAGCTGGGTCCCGTGGCAAGAGTGGCCGCCCCAGAGTGGGTGGCCGTGGGGCAGAGCGCCTGGTTCCGGGTTAGGCAATGAGGAGCCGGGGCCAGGCCTGTCAGGTGGCAGGATCGTTAGAGCCCCGTGGCCATGGGTACCCCACACTGCAGCCACTGCTGCTGCTGAGTAGGCAGATGCACCGGGCTGATTACCACGCTCCTCCCGGCCACACCAACTTCCCCCGGGGCACCCACCCCCTCCACCTCTCCTCCTCTCCCCACAGTGACTCCTGCCCAGGGAATGTCCAGCTCTGGCATAAAGGACCCAGGTGTCCTCGAGCTGCCATCAGTCAGGAGGCCGTGCAGCCCGAGATGGGCTCGTCTCGGGCACCCTGGATGGGGCGTGTGGGTGGGCACGGGATGATGGCACTGCTGCTGGCTGGTCTCCTCCTGCCAGGTAGGAGGCTGGGGGCCCTGGGAACAGGAGGGAGGCGGGAGGGAGACTCCGGGAGAGGACCCAGCGAAGGGGACGGGCAGGGGCTCTGGAATCTGCCTTTTGAGTCTGGGGGTTGCTCCTCACTGTATGGTCGCCTCAGGTAAGTTTCTTAAACTTCCTGAGCCCCAGTTTCTGAAATTCTGAAGTGGGGTTAATGACACCTACCTCTAGTCTGTGTGTCTCAAATTAAATAATGTATGTGATATGTACTTTGGAAATTCTAGAGGTTTATATAAATGGTGGTGGTGATTTTTATTATGGGAGCACTACAAGATAATGATTGGACATTTAATAGTAATAATATCATTTTTAGAGCCTTTTTATATGCTAGACTCTGTTTTAAGCACATTTGGATTATATATTAGAACTTTTATTTTTATTTTTTTTGTGAGATGGAGTCCCACTCTGTCTCCAAGGCTGGAGTGCAGTGGCGTAATCTCGGCTCACTGCAACTTCCACCTCTCAGGTTCAAGCGACTCTCATGCCTCAGCCTCTAGAGTAGCTGGGACAACAGGTGCCCATCACCACACCTGGCTAATTTTCTTTTTTTTGTATTTTTAGTAGAAACAGGGTTTTACCATTTTGGTCAAGCTGGTCTTGAACTCCTGACTCAAGTGATCCGCTCGCCTCGGCCTCCCAAGGTGCTGGGATTACAGGCATGAGCCACCACACCCGGCCTATATTAGCACTTTTGATCATTACAAGAACGGTATGAAAAGAGATTTGCTATTTCCACTCTACAGATGAGGACACTGAGGCTCGGAGAGGTTAGGAAACTAGCTCAAAATCATGCATTAGAAGGCAGCAAAGCCAAGATTTCAACCCCAGGCCAGGCAACCCCTGGACCTGTGTTGTTGACCACCGGGTACTTATAGCCCTTGAGGAATTTCTGCGACCTTCCCATGGTCTAGTGGGTGGTTGGTGTCTGAGGGAATAGCGAAAGAGAGAGGCAATGCATGGTGGATTCGTGCAGAGGACTGAAGGGAATTGGCACAGCTGGGGTTCGGCGTGGAGGTGCATGCAGAGAATTTCTTTCTGAGGAGAGAACAGGGACATCACAGAGGATGGCAGTCTGGTTGTTGGTGGAGGGATCAGGATGAGTGGCAGTAATAATTCATAATATATAATGCTTTACACTTTCTAAAACATCTGGCCGCACATGATAGCTTGTGCCTGTAATCCCAACACTTCAGGAGGCCAAGGCAGGTGAATCGCCTGAGGTCAGGAGTTCAAGACCAGCCTGGCCAAGATGGTGAAACCCCCTCTCTACTAAAAATACAAAAAATTAGCTGGGTGTGGTGGCGGGCACCTGTGGTCCCAGCTACTTGGGAGGCTGAGGCAGGAGAATCGCTTGCACCAAGGAGGCAGAGGTTACAGTGAGCTGAGACCGTGTTATTGCACTTTAGCCTGGGCAACAAGAAACTCCATCTCACAAAAAAAAAAAAAAAAAAAAAAAAGAAGAAAAAACTTCCAGGTGGATGATCTCATTTAGTTTTCTTCATAGTAATGCTGTGGGAAGGCAGGGAAAATTTGGCCCCTCTGAATGTATAAACTAAAGCTCAGAGAGGTTCAGTAACTTGCTAGTATGTGGCTCTGTTTGTAACACGTGGGACCTGGAGGGGCTAGGGAAGGCAGAAGGAACGCAGGTGAAAGAGTCATGGAGGAACCATGGGGTAAGTTGGGCCTGGGGTTTTGAGCAAAGGAAAGGAAAGATAAGGAAAGATGTGGCTCCACATCCCTGAGGGAAGTCAAGGCAGCAGAAGTCAGATGAGGGGCTGGACAGAGGCAGGTGTGCTCAGAGAGGGAAGCTGATTGTGGCCAGGAGCCTCGGAGGTTCGTGGGGTTTCGTCCTGGTTCCCTGGGCTGGGCCAGCGAGAGCAGGGCTGGCTCAGGGTGCGGTGTCCTGACACACTGGTACCAGCAGGTTCTGAAGCAACAGGTAGTGACCCCACATCCTGGCCCCCACCCAGCTTTACTGGCATGGCCAGTGCTGAGATAGGAAATAGGGTTTCCATTCCTGACCCCAGCCTGGGCTCTCACGAAGAAGCTGGTGACCAAATCTTAGTCCTCGAGTGCCCTTTCCTTTATTTCAGCCCCTCTGCCCCCAGCTTTGTCTTTTTCCAGTGTCTCCTTCTATATGTGTCTCCACTTCTCAGCCCTCCATTGTTTTGCCTTTTGTCTTCTTCCCTCTGGTCCCACTGTCTGGCCCAGGATTTTTCCCCTAAGAATTTACGCCTGGACTCCTCAGAGCCTCAGTTTCCCCAATTCTCTGTCTCTTCAGGGTCCTTTCTTTTAGACCTATTTGTTCCTGCCCCTTCTCCATTCCCTCTTCTTTTTTAAAAAAATTTTAATTAAAAAACAAAATACAGATGGGGTCTATGTTGCCCAGGCTGGTCTTGAACTCTGGGGCGCATGCAATCCTCCCACCTCAGCCTCCCAAAGTGCTGGGATTACCGGCGTGAGCCACTGTGCCCAGCCCCCTCTTATATTCAATGTATTCCTTTGAGGTCACTCACTTTGGCACGTAATTTTCTATTTTTCTGGTTGGTGTTTGCCCACCCTTCCCAAACAAAGAAATGCCTTTATTCGGCCACCTCAATATCCTTTAGAGACAATAGCCAGTTCTTCCTCCTTTCTCCATCCCTAAACTCTCCCTGCGCTCTGCTTGGGAGAAACCCGAGAGGCCGATTACTGAGATAAGGCAGAAAGGTGAGGGAGGAAGCCAAGCCTCTTTGGCCCTTACTAACCACTGCTTTCCTCCACAGGGACCTTGGCTAAGAGCATTGGCACCTTCTCAGACCCCTGTAAGGACCCCACGCGTATCACCTCCCCTAACGACCCCTGCCTCACTGGGAAGGGTGACTCCAGCGGCTTCAGTAGCTACAGTGGCTCCAGCAGTTCTGGCAGCTCCATTTCCAGTGCCAGAAGCTCTGGTGGTGGCTCCAGTGGTAGCTCCAGCGGATCCAGCATTGCCCAGGGTGGTTCTGCAGGATCTTTTAAGCCAGGAACGGGGTATTCCCAGGTCAGCTACTCCTCCGGATCTGGCTCTAGTCTACAAGGTGCATCCGGTTCCTCCCAGCTGGGGAGCAGCAGCTCTCACTCGGGAAGCAGCGGCTCTCACTCGGGAAGCAGCAGCTCTCATTCGAGCAGCAGCAGCAGCTTTCAGTTCAGCAGCAGCAGCTTCCAAGTAGGGAATGGCTCTGCTCTGCCAACCAATGACAACTCTTACCGCGGAATACTAAACCCTTCCCAGCCTGGACAAAGCTCTTCCTCTTCCCAAACCTCTGGGGTATCCAGCAGTGGCCAAAGCGTCAGCTCCAACCAGCGTCCCTGTAGTTCGGACATCCCCGACTCTCCCTGCAGTGGAGGGCCCATCGTCTCGCACTCTGGCCCCTACATCCCCAGCTCCCACTCTGTGTCAGGGGGTCAGAGGCCTGTGGTGGTGGTGGTGGACCAGCACGGTTCTGGTGCCCCTGGAGTGGTTCAAGGTCCCCCCTGTAGCAATGGTGGCCTTCCAGGCAAGCCCTGTCCCCCAATCACCTCTGTAGACAAATCCTATGGTGGCTACGAGGTGGTGGGTGGCTCCTCTGACAGTTATCTGGTTCCAGGCATGACCTACAGTAAGGGTAAAATCTATCCTGTGGGCTACTTCACCAAAGAGAACCCTGTGAAAGGCTCTCCAGGGGTCCCTTCCTTTGCAGCTGGGCCCCCCATCTCTGAGGGCAAATACTTCTCCAGCAACCCCATCATCCCCAGCCAGTCGGCAGCTTCCTCGGCCATTGCGTTCCAGCCAGTGGGGACTGGTGGGGTCCAGCTCTGTGGAGGCGGCTCCACGGGCTCCAAGGGACCCTGCTCTCCCTCCAGTTCTCGAGTCCCCAGCAGTTCTAGCATTTCCAGCAGCTCCGGTTCACCCTACCATCCCTGCGGCAGTGCTTCCCAGAGCCCCTGCTCCCCACCAGGCACCGGCTCCTTCAGCAGCAGCTCCAGTTCCCAATCGAGTGGCAAAATCATCCTTCAGCCTTGTGGCAGCAAGTCCAGCTCTTCTGGTCACCCTTGCATGTCTGTCTCCTCCTTGACACTGACTGGGGGCCCCGATGGCTCTCCCCATCCTGATCCCTCCGCTGGTGCCAAGCCCTGTGGCTCCAGCAGTGCTGGAAAGATCCCCTGCCGCTCCATCCGGGATATCCTAGCCCAAGTGAAGCCTCTGGGGCCCCAGCTAGCTGACCCTGAAGTTTTCCTACCCCAAGGAGAGTTACTCGACAGTCCATAAGTCAACTGTTGTGTGTGTGCATGCCTTGGGCACAAACAAGCACATACACTATATCCCATATGGGAGAAGGCCAGTGCCCAGGCATAGGGTTAGCTCAGTTTCCCTCCTTCCCAAAAGAGTGGTTCTGCTTTCTCTACTACCCTAAGGTTGCAGACTCTCTCTTATCACCCCTTCCTCCTTCCTCTTCTCAAAATGGTAGATTCAAAGCTCCTCTCTTGATTCTCTCCTACTGTTTAAATTCCCATTCCACCACAGTGCCCCTCAGCCAGATCACCACCCCTTACAATTCCCTCTACTGTGTTGAAATGGTCCATTGAGTAACACCCCCATCACCTTCTCAACTGGGAAACCCCTGAAATGCTCTCAGAGCACCTCTGACGCCTGAAGAAGTTATACCTTCCTCTTCCCCTTTACCAAATAAAGCAAAGTCAAACCATCATCTGGAAACAGTGGCCACTTTTCACTGACCTCTCTTCGACATCTAGTCAACCCACCCAATATGCCACTGGGCTTTCGCTCCCAATTCCACCCCACCCTCCATTACAGAGCTCACCACGCCCTCCTAGATCACCGTCCCCAACACACCCATTGCCTCTCAAGGCCCTTATCTCAGCCCCTTCCTGTGGCCATTTCCCTCAGTGCCCAGATGATTCCCTGGGTGAGGGAGACACTGGGGCACCCTCAGAGGTTGGAGCAGGCTCCCTGCTGTCCCTGGATCCTGGACAGATGGCTCAGTAAACTGTGGGGACTAGGTGCAGACTTTTTGCCTTCTTGGAGTCCTGGGTCTCCTCTGAGAGTCTGGGTGGTGCTCTTCCTACGCCTCTAGAGGTCTCTGTGTCCCTCATTTTCCTTCAAAAGCGGGCTGTGTTTCTCTTCTACCTTCCAGCTCCTCCCACAGAGGAGGAAGACAATAAATATTTGTTGAACTGAAAGCAGAGATTGCCTGGCCTCCCAGATCCTTCCGCCATTTCCCTCCTCTCTCATTGCTCCAGGAAATCCATTCTCTTCCCATTCCTCATTCACCGTGGGGTCCCCCTTCCCCTTATTTAGGGCCCTCAGTGTTTTCTCTCCCTCCCCTCCCCTCCCCTCCCCACCCAAACTCCTTTTCTTCCACCATTAGCATTCCTCACCTTCTAGATGCCATCCTCTCTGGGAGTCATGAGTCTCGATTTCCTGGGTTTCTGGGACACCTGGAAGCTTGGGAAGGCTGGGACACAACAACTCCAACCAGATTCCTGTCAGCTGAGTAGGAGGCCAGTTGGGCGTTGTTCCTGGAGCTGGGGGTGGAGAGAGTAAAGGACTGAGAGGATGGGAGCGGGGCAGGGAGTGCAGCCAAGCAGGGTGACTCACTGGCCTAGATCAAGAGGCCCAGCCTGTGGCAGAACAGAGCTGCCAGTGGTCTCTCCATCTTCACACTCCCTGCTCTGCTGGGGTCCAGAGTGAGAGTGTGAGCAACATGGCTCTCAGGTGAGGGCTGAGAAGGCAGAGTGCCCCAGTGGGAAAGAGGAGTCGCTTCCACTGGAGAAGAGAGAGAAAGTGGAGTGTGTGGTGGGGTCCATGCGACTTAAGTCCTGAGACAGGCAGGGAGAGGCTGAGGCGGACGAAGTTCCCGCATCCCAAGGAGGGCAGAGTGGATTGTGCTTGTCCCTGTAGGAGCCCCACCCCCCACCCCAGGCCACCTCTCAGAGCCTCTGCTTGGCTGCAAAGGAATTCACCCCTACTGTAGCACTTAACCCATTCCCTCCTATCAGGGTGGTGCTGTCTGGTCCTGAATTTAGAACTGTTGAAACTCCAAGTCTGGAATCAGCAAAAATGTATTACATTGACCAGAAAGGGATTGAATCACCCTTGGTCCAGCATCTGGCCCCTGATCTGCAGCCAATGGCAGGAATCGAGGTCCTCAGATGCTTCATGAATGGGAATTGCAGGGAGAGAAGGCTCTCTGATGTGGTGTTTCCTCGAGTCTCCTGCTGTGCTCCAAATTAAAAGCTTGTGTAAAACTCATGCATGTCATCCAAAAAGGCCTCTGGGCTCCATCCACTGCCAGTTCTGGAGAGGAGCTCTTCACTCCTCCAGTGGTTAAGCCAGCAGGGGCAGGTGGGGAGGACACAGCAGTAGAATCAGCCAACAGCTCATGTTTAGACCTTGGGCAGCCAGGGAAGCCTACTCCTGGGGCCTCCCGGAAGCCATGGAGAGAACAAAGCCATTGCATTTTTATAATAAAATTTGCAAACATATTTAAAAGCCAACAAACTGTTAATGAATCTCTACATTCTCATCGCCCAGCTTCAACAAGGATCCCAGCTTCAACAAGTCCTGGCCATTTGACAGCAGCATTTAAAGGCTCTCCTCTACTGTTACTTGGAAATAGCCACTTTCTCCCAAGGTTTCTTATACTCTATGGCACATCTGACCACCAGTAGCAGGCAGAATGATGTCTTCAACCCCAACACCATCAAAGATGTCCACATCCTAATCCCTGGAACGTAGGAATTAGGTTACATGGCAAAGGGAAATTAAGGTTCCAGATGGGATTAAGGTTGCTATTCGGCTGACTTCACAGAGATTATCATGGATTATTCAGGTGGGTCCAGTGTAGTCACCAGGTCCCTTAATGTGGACATGGGAGGCAGAAGAGGAAGTCTGAGTGATACAGTGTAAGAAATGGCTGATTTTGGCTTTGGAGATGGAGGAAGGGGACCATGAGCCAAAGAACACAGGATGCCTCTAGAAGGTGAAAAAGCAGGGAAAGGGATTTTCCCCTGAGGCCCCCAGAAAGAATCACAGCCCTGCTGACACCTTTATTTTAATCCACTGAGACCTGTTTTAGACTTCTGATCTCCAAAACTGTAAAGTAATAAATCCATGTTGTTGTAAGCCATTCGGTTCATGGTAATTTGTCACTGCAGCAGCAGGAATTAGTCAGTATCTCATAAGGATGGCATCCAGGTCCATTTCCCTAGCTAGATCCAGGGTCTCATGTAGGAGCAGCTCCTCAGATGGGGCCACTTCTGCACCCCAGAACCTCCTGCAGGTTGGGGCCAAGGTGAAGGAGATATGAGGATGCATGAGAAAGGGGTGCTGGGAGGAAACAATCCAGCTCCCAAAAAGAAACAAGTGTTTCTGTTGCTGAGAGAGGCAATTAAGAGAGTGGGACCCCAGGGTGGAGGTCCTTGTGTATAGAGAAGCAGGGCTGGGGAGGCTGGCAACCAGGGATGAGCTGTGAGCCAGGACACCTGGGCCAAGAAGGGGCAGGGAGGTCAAGGAAAGGAGCCAGGGCGGGAGACACCCAGCTTCCTCTGGGACATTCATTCAAGTGACACCTGTTGCCACAGACCACATTAGGAATGAGGGTGGAATGTGGAGGTTTATTGTCTTCACAACCACTAGCCCAGCCTGTTTCTGCTGTCCCCCACCCCACTACCAGGATAAAGGGCTGGCTGTCTTGGGGCTGAGGGAGATCGGGTGCTGAGCAGGATGCAGGGCCGCGTGGCAGGGAGCTGCGCTCCTCTGGGCCTGCTCCTGGTCTGTCTTCATCTCCCAGGTATGGAGGCCGTGATGCCCTTGGGCAGGAGGGACTGGAGGTCCCCCAGGAAACAGGAATTAAGGAAAGGGGTAAAGGCAGGAGGGTACACATTTAGGTCCCTGAGGGAAAAGGAAGAATAGGCATAGGGGAAGCAAAGGGAACTGGGGACTCGGGGACTGGAGACCACTGGTTGCTTTATCTTCCCTTTCCCTCAGGCCTCTTTGCCCGGAGCATCGGTGTTGTGGAGGAGAAAGTTTCCCAAAACTTGGGGACCAACTTGCCTCAGCTCGGACAACCTTCCTCCACTGGCCCCTCTAACTCTGAACATCCGCAGCCCGCTCTGGACCCTAGGTCTAATGACTTGGCAAGGGTTCCTCTGAAGCTCAGCGTGCCTGCATCAGATGGCTTCCCACCTGCAGGAGGTTCTGCAGTGCAGAGGTGGCCTCCATCGTGGGGGCTGCCTGCCATGGATTCCTGGCCCCCTGAGGATCCTTGGCAGATGATGGCTGCTGCGGCTGAGGACCGCCTGGGGGAAGCGCTGCCTGAAGAACTCTCTTACCTCTCCAGTGCTGCGGCCCTCGCTCCGGGCAGTGGCCCTTTGCCTGGGGAGTCTTCTCCCGATGCCACAGGCCTCTCACCCAAGGCTTCACTCCTCCACCAGGACTCGGAGTCCAGACGACTGCCCCGTTCTAATTCACTGGGAGCCGGGGGAAAAATCCTTTCCCAACGCCCTCCCTGGTCTCTCATCCACAGGGTTCTGCCTGATCACCCCTGGGGTACCCTGAATCCCAGTGTGTCCTGGGGAGGTGGAGGCCCTGGGACTGGTTGGGGAACGAGGCCCATGCCACACCCTGAGGGAATCTGGGGTATCAATAATCAACCCCCAGGTACCAGCTGGGGAAATATTAATCGGTATCCAGGAGGCAGCTGGGGAAATATTAATCGGTATCCAGGAGGCAGCTGGGGGAATATTAATCGGTATCCAGGAGGCAGCTGGGGGAATATTCATCTATACCCAGGTATCAATAACCCATTTCCTCCTGGAGTCCTCCGCCCTCCTGGCTCTTCTTGGAACATCCCAGCTGGCTTCCCTAATCCTCCAAGCCCTAGGTTGCAGTGGGGCTAGAGCACGATAGAGGGAAACCCAACATTGGGAGTTAGAGTCCTGCTCCCGCCCCTTGCTGTGTGGGCTCAATCCAGGCCCTGTCAGCATGTTTCCAGCACTATCCCCACTTTTCAGTGCCTCCCCTGCTCATCTCCAATAAAATAAAAGCACTTATGGAATTTGCTTCTCCTTGGTTTCTTTGTTTCTGGGCATAAGCTGAAGTGAGTCTGGGCATAAGCTGAAGTGAGTCTGTTCATTCCTGTTTTCTAGCCATCCCCACGGCCCTCTAGGGGCCCCTGCAGACGCTGTCTTGCTATCCCCATCCTTCACAAAGGATCAGTGCCCAAGTGCTTGAGGGTGGAGCCTCAGTCTCACCCCGGCCAGGTGGGAGAGCTGTTCCAGAATTGTGCTGGAATCTGAAAGGGGGAGGAGGGACAGCAGGACTAATTGAGATGGCACCTGCAGCAGGGGGCAAGGATGAGGTCCCAGAAGGCGGCTCCAGGGCCAGGTGGACAGGATTCCTTGCAACTCACAGAAACAGGAAGCCAAAAGTCGCAATGTCTACGCTTCACTTGTCTTTTCTTCCCCGGAAAGTCAAGCTTCTTGGAAGTGGAGGTACATCGACCTCCTCCCTTACAGGCATCATTTAGCACATTGTGTCCCACAGAACCACAGACTTTGAAGAGTTGCTGAGTAAATAGCAGACCTCGATAAAGGAAAAGAGAAAAGGGAGAAAGGAAAGGGAGAAAAAAACCTTGAAGCCAACAATCCCACCTGGGGTGGCATTTGATGCTTTCATTCCCAAGTGATGACACAGTCTCAGCCTTTGGTCACAGTATTGTCTCTCCTGCCCTCCCTTCGGTTTTCCCAGGAGCTCAACATCCTCACACAGGAGTTGGAGTGACGGCAGCGAAGGGTCAGGCTACAAAAGCACGGAAGAATCAGCAGGTGTGGGTTGGAGGTGATTTGGGTCTGGATTCTCTCTTCCCTGTGCCATGCCTGCAGTGGTCCAGGTGTATGTACTCTCCATCCAGTCAGGTCCCTGGGAGTTGGGCAGCTTGTGGGAGGGGAGAAAGGAGTAGGAAAAACACCAGAACTCAAGGGGTAGGGAGCTGCCTGCCTGCCTGCCTGAGTGGCAGATGGGCATTTCTGGAGAAGATGCCCGGTCCCAGCGTCTGCCATAAGGCTCCATCCTACACTGAGAAGTCCTTCCTGGAACACCTTCCTCAGAGCCCACCTTTCCCATCACCAAGCACACTCCCTTCGTCAACACCTCAACCTCCTCACCTGATTCTTTTCCCAGCTTGGACTCTCTTGGTTTCTCCCTGCCCTAGGGCAAGGGGTTCCATGCCTGTTTTCAGCACCTGCCTCTTCCACCAGCCCAAGGTCATTCTATCAAGCCTGGAGTCTCATTTCTCTCTGTCCCTCTTCCTGGTGGCCTCTTCTGCATAGTCATTCCTATTCGCACATTTAAATTTGGTGTCAACAGTCCCCTGCTCTGTTCCACAGACTCACTAGAGCATAAGCACCACGAGGACAGGGGCTTTGTCTCTTTAGTTCACTGCTGCACCCCCAGCACAAAGAACAGGGTCTGGACCAGGGCAGGCACTCAGCAGGCACGAAGGAATGGCTGATCCTCTCTCTCTGTCCCTCCCCCTCTCTCATCATCTCTCTTCTTCCACTCAATTCCTGAGCCATGCGGCTACACCCAGAGTCTAATCTACACTCCGGCTGTAGCCCTCCCAGAGCCTCACTGACATTTTTCAACAACCTCATGAAGCCCTTCTCAGCATTAAAATGCTCTGTGCGTTTCATCATTTAACCTTCATTATTCTCTGTGAGGAAGGCATTATAAGATTTTTGCGGCCAGGCACGGTGGCTCACACCTGTAATCCCAGCACTTTGGGAGAACGAGGCAGGCGGATCACCTGAGGAGTTCGAGACAGCCTAGTCCAACATGGGGAACATGGTGAAACCTCATCTCTACTAAAAACACAAAAATTAGCCAGGCATGGTGCCTGTAATGCCAGCTACTTAGGAGGCTGAGGCTGGAGAATCGCTTGAACCCGGGAGTTGGAGGTTGTAGTGAGCCGAGATCGCGCCACTGCACTCCAGCCTGGGTGACAGAGCGAGACTCCGTCTCAAAAAAAAAAAAAGATTTTTACAGATGGAGGAACTGAGATTTAGAGGGATTAAGCAAGTCACACAGGGTTACAAGTGACAGGGGTGGTGACTCAAACCTCATTTTTCTCATTATCTGTCCAGGGAGTATTCAAGTACAATATGCAATTAACAGAAATAACAACGAACTTTTATTATATTTACATATAGGCCAGGTCCTGGACAAGGGGCTTGCACACACACCCTTCCAGCAAATCCTCACAACAACCCCATTGGGTGGGCACTGCGGGGCATACTGCACAGGGAAGACACTGAGGCCCAGAGAGGATGGGGAGCTGAGGCTCACACACAGGCAACACTGAGCCAGGGCAGTGAAGTTCATCTGATGCTTGGTGCTGATGGCTCAGGGAAGATGGACTTTAACAGTGGAGGGTCCCAGGGGGATGTGGCCAGTCCCCTCAGGGTGGTCTTTGGATTAACGTTAGTTGTTGCTTAAAAAATGGTGGAACTGGGCATGGTGGCTCATGTCTGTAATTTCAGCACTTTGGGAGCTGAGGCAGGAGGATTACTTGAGCCCAGGAATTCTAGACCAGCCTGGGCAACATAGGGAGACCTCATCTCTACAAATAGTAATTAAAAAATTAGCTTGAGCACTTAAAAAAAAAATTAAGAGTAGGCCGGGCATGGTGGCTCACACCTGTAATCCCAACACTTTGGGAGGCCAAGGCAGGTGGAGACCAGCCTGGCCAATGTGGTGAAACCCCATCTCTACTAAAAATACAAAAATTAGCCAGGCATGGTGTTGCACGCCTGTAATCCCAGCTAGAGGGAAGGCTGAGGTATAAGAATTGCTTGAACTTGGGAGATGGAGGTTGCAGTGAGCTGAGATTGTGCCACTGCACTCCAGCCTGGGCAACAGAGTGAGACTCTGTCTCAAAAAAAAAATCATCATCATAAGAGCAAAAATAAACTTTAAAAAAAATAAAATATTAGCTTGGCATGGTGTTATGCCTGTGGTACCAGCTACTTGGGAGGCTGAGGTGGGAGGATCACCCGAGCCTGGGAGGTTGAGGCTGCAGTGAGCCATGATCATTCCACTGCACTCTAGCCTGGGTGACAGGGCAAGACTAAAAAGGAAAAAAAAAGAAAAGAAAAGAAAGGCGGCTTACACCTGTAATCCCAGCACTTTGGGAGGCTAAGGAGGGTGGATCACCTGAGATTAGGAGTTCAAGACCAGCCTGGCCAACATGGTGCTACCCTGTCTCTACTAAAAATAAAAAGTTAGCCAGGTGTGGTGGTGGGCGCCTGTAATCCCAGCTACTCGGGAGACTGAGGTAGGAGAATCGCTTGAACCTGGGAGGTAGAGGTTGCAGTGAGCTGAGATTGCACCATTGCACTCCAGCCTAGGTGACAAGAGGGAAACTCCATCTCAGAAAAACAACAACAACAACAAAAACAACACCCAAAAACCAAACAACAACAACTACAACAAAAAGAGAGGGAATGTCTTCAGTAATCTGTGATATGAGAAAGGTCCTAATGTTTGCAACAGGGACTACTGCTGGCATACTGATTTTTACATTTTTATTAGTGGTTAATTAGTGGAAGTGGTGGCTGGAGTAGCAAGAGTCATTCATTTCTCCTATCCTAGGAGGGCGCTTATCCAGAAGTTAGGAAACAGAAGTTCCCCTTCTGCCACACAACTTTCTGTGCCAGGTCACCTTAGGCAAGTCATTGACCTCTGTGGACCTTCGTTTTCTCATCTGTAACATGGGATGAAAGCAGATGTCCAGCCTCCCTCACAGGATTATTAGGAAGTTTAGGTAAGATAATGATAAGGTGCCTTAGAGACTGGAAAACCCTGAGCCATCGTAAGGGATAGATCCTAATGCAGTGCGTTGTCCCAGTGAGGCAGTCCTGGCAGGACCACAGGATAGTTCTTCGTCCCACAGAGGAGGGCTGGTCTGGTGCAGAGGCTGTAGTTGACATCACAGTCGATTGATAAGTTGATGTGATGCTTTGCACTGGGAGTTACACTTGAGAGAATGACTCTAAGATCAAGAGGAAGAGTTGAGTTGGCTTCTCATTTAAATATTTCATCCCTCAAACAAACAGCATTCACTTAGCCATTTGTCAGTAAAAAAGACATTTTTCACTTACACACACACTGTTGGGTGATAATAATAATAGTTTCCTTTATGTATTTACCATGAACTAAATGTTACAAGGTTACTTCAGTTCTTAGAATTCTATGATGTGTATGACGTGCTTACTCTTTTGTTTGTTTGTTTGTTTGTAGAGATGGGGGTCTCGCTTGTTGCCCAGGTTGGTCTTGAACTCCTGGCCTCAAGTGATCCTCCTGCCTCGGCCTTCCAAAGTGCTGGGATTACAGGTATGAGCCACCATGACCAGCCTAAAGTGAATTAATGTTTGATTCTCTGGCTAGACAAGCCCCACTGTGGAAAGGTGGTAGCAACAAGTTGTGAAATAATTTTGAGACCATTTAGTTCTTCTTGGCCTCAGGATGGCAGTTGTGACTGATGCAGCAGGTGTTTTTTTTTTCTCTTTCTTTCTTTCTTTTTTTTTTTTTTTTTCTTGAGACGGAGTCTCGCTCTGTTGCCAGGCTGGAGTGCAGTGGCGTGATCTCTGCTTACCACAACCTCCGACTCCCTGGTTCAAGCGATTCCCCTGCCTCAGCCTCCCGAGTAGCTGGGATTACAGGCATGTGCCACCATCCCCAGCTAATTTTTGTATTTTTCAGTAGAGACGGGGTTTCCCCATGTTGGCCAGGATGGTCTGATCTCCTGACCTCGTGATCCGCCCGCCTCAGCCTCCCAAAGTGCTGGGATTACACGCGTGAGCCACCCCGCCCGGCCAGAGGGTTGTTTCTTTAGCACCTCTTCCTCTGTCCCTCCTTTCTCTGAATCCCGTACTTAAATCACTCCCTGGCTACTCAGGACCATAATCCCTCTTGACTCACCCAGTCAAAACTCACTTCTCTTGAGTCTCTCTGTCCACTGTGACATTTTCATATGATGAATTCAGGAGAACTAACTCTGTTCATGATTAATAGGTGCAAAGATGATGAGTCTAGGAAGATAAAATCTATCTGGTATGTTAGTGGCCCCTTAAACATCTGTCACCAGCCTTCAAGTTCAGGTGCCCCTCTCTTTTCCTGGGACACCCTCTCAGTGTCTAAATGTCATTAAGGTATTTCTACTTAATGTAATTTTGTTTCTCTTATGAATTTATTAAACAAATAGCATTTAAGCATTAAATAATATTCTTCTATTTATACACTATGTACACAACTAATACATAGACATTTATGGATTTAATAATCCAAACTGATTAAAACACATTATTGATTTTATTTATTTATTTATTTATTTATTTATTTATTTATTTATTTTTTTGAGACGGAGTCTTCTCTGTCACCCAGGCTGGAGTGCAGTGGCGTGATCTCGGCTCACTGCAACCTCTGCCTCCCAGGTTCACGCCATTCTCCTGCCTCAGCCTCCTGAGTAGCTGGGACTACAGGTGCCCACCACCACGCTTGGCTAATTTTTCTGTATTTTTAGTAGAGATGGGGTTTCACCGTGTTAGCCAGGATGGTCTCGATCTCCTGACCTTGTGATCCACCCACCTCAGCCTCCCAAAGTGCTGGGATTACAGGCGTGAGCCACTGCGCCCGGCCTAAATATTGATTTTAGACTTAAACTCATTTAAGCATTTAATTAAAATCTTTCATTTAGCTGGGCACAGTGGCTCATACCTGTAATCCCAGCACTTTAGGAGGCCGAGGCGGGTGGATCACCTGAGGTCAGGAGTTCGAGAACAGGCTGACCAACATGGTGAAACCCTGTCTCTACTAAAAATATACAAATTAGCTGGGCATGGTGGCAAGCGCCTATAATCCCAGCTACTCAGGAGACTGAGGCAGCAGAATCGCTTGAACCCAGGAGGCAGAGGTTGCAGTGAGCCGAAATCGCGCCATTGCACTCCAGCCTGGGTGACAAGAGCAAGACTCCATCTTAAAAAAAAAAAAAAAATCTTGCATTTAATACATAGGATTCTCTTAAATGTCTGAAACCCCCTAAGAAGCAAATGCGTTTTTTTTTTTGAGATGGATTTTCGCTCTTGTTGCCCAGGCTGTAGTGCAATGGCGCGATGTCTGCTCACTGCAACCTCTGCCTTCCGGGTTCAAGCAATTCTCCTGCCTCAGCCTCCCAAGTAGCAGGGATTACAGGTGTGCACTACCATGCCCGGCTAATTTTTTATTTTTAGTAGAGATGGGGTTTCACCATGTTGGTCAGGCTGGTTTTGAACTCCTGACCACAGGTCATCCACCCACCTTGGCCTCCCAAACTGCTGAGATTACAGGTGTGAGCCACTGCACCCGGCCTACGAATGCAATTATTATTATTATTTTATTTTTATTTTTTGGAGACAGAGTCTTCCTCTATCACCCAGGCTGAAGTGGAGTGGCACCATCAGGGCTCACTGCAGCCTCAACCTCCTGAGCCCAAGGAGTCCTCCCACCTCAGCCTTCCAAGTAGCTGGGACAACAGGCCTGCACCACTGCACCTGGGTAATTTTTAAATTTTTATAGAGATGGGGTCCCACTATGTTGCTCAGACTGATCTTGAACTCCTGGCCTCAAATGATCCTCCCACCTCAGCCTCCTAAAGTGCTGGGATTACAGGCATGAGCCACTGTGCCCAGCCTGGAACACTAACTTTTAACAACTATCTGCACACAGAGAAGCATCATCACAAGAACCAAAAATCAGGTGAGCAATCACAGTAACTGGATTTAACTTCATATCACTAAAGGAAACATTGAGGAGGGCAGGAGAGACAGTCTTGAATTGTGACGCCCCTTCCGTCCTCCCTGGCAGTGTCCCTGCAGCGTGGAAAGAGAGTCTTTGCATTTTGGGGAGGGAGGGCATGGGGTGGGGGACTTTATATTGAACTCACTGCTGCACTGTCATAGCGGAGAGCAAAGTCATGCTGGGATCGACCGGCACCTGCATGTGGAGGGGGGCATCTGGGCCAGCCCTAGCCAGAGGGAAATCACCTGTCCCAGTGGTTGGAACTTGAGTTTCTCTGCAAGCCTCACCACCATGGGCCAAAGTGCTCTGGTGTCCTAGGTAAACTTGAAAGGCAGTCTAGGCTGGATGCGGTGGCTCACACCTATAATCCCAGCACTTGGGGAAGCTGAGGCAGGAGGGACACTTGAGCCCAGGAGTCTGAGACCAGCCTGGGCAACATAAGGAGGCCATATTTCCACAAAAGAAAAAAAAGAAAAGGCAGTCTAGGACCCAAGGACTGCAATTCCTAGACAACTCCTAGTGCTCGGCTGGACTTACAGCCAATGGACTAGGGTTGCACTTGACCTAGGTAGACACCAGCCGGTATGGCTAAGGGAGGGCTTGTGCCACCCCTTCTCCAATCCCAGGCAGTGCAGCTCCTAGCAACGAAAGTGACTCCTTCCCTCTGCTTAAGGAGAGATGAGCAACGGGTAAAGAGGACTTGGTCTTGCATCTTGGATACCAGCTCAGCCACAGTAGGATAGGGCACTGGGCCAAGTCATGAGGCCCCCATTCCAGGCCCAACTCCCAGATGTCATTTTTAGATACCTGGGCCAAAAGGGAAGCTGCTGCCTTGAAGAGAAGGGCCCAGTACTTGCAGGATTCATCACCTGCTGACTAAAGAGCCCCTGGGCCCTGCATAACTAGCAGCAATAACCAGGTAGTACACTGTGGGCCTTGGGTGAGACTCTGAGACATGCTGTCTTCAGCAGTAACCCAGCACATTCCCAGCTATGGTGGCTATGGTGAAAGACTCCTGCAGTTTGAGAAAAGCAGAGGGAAAAGTAAAGGGGACTTTGTCTTGTACCTTAGGCACCAGCTCAACCATGGTAGGGCAGAGCAACAAGCAGTCTCTTGGAGTCCCCAAATCTAGGTGTAGATTCTGTCCTGGACCTGCCCCTCTGGCTCATGGCAGGTCCAGAGGGGAGCCTGCTGCCCTGAAAGGTAAGTCCCAGGCTTGGCAACATTCACCACAAGCTGATGGAAGAGTTCTTGGGCTTTAATTTTTATTTTTATTTTTTCGAGACGGAGTCTTGCTGTCACCCTGACTGGAGTGCAGTTGTACCATCTGGGCTCACTGTAACCTCCGTCTCCTGGGTTCAAGAGGTTCTCCTGCCTCAGCCTCCCAAGAAGCTGAGCTTACAGGCACCCACCACCACACCTGGCTAATTTTTGTATTTTTAGTAGAGACAGTGTTTCACCATGTTGGTCAGGCTGGTCTTGACCTCCTGACCTCAAGTGATCCACCTGCCTCGGCCTCCCAAAGTGCTGGGATTACAGGCGTGAGCCACCACAGCCGGCCACCTTTGGGCTTTAAGTGAACATTGGTGGTGGACTGGCAGAATTGCTGTGGACTGGTGGTGGTGGTTGCCATAGGGAGAGGCTCCTCTGCCTAAGGAAAGGGGAGGGATGAGTGGGAGGGACTTTGTATTGTGGTGTCAGCGCCCGCTTAGCCACAGTAGAACAGAACATCAGGTAAATTACCAAAGTTTTTGACTCCAATCCCTGGCTCCCAGACAGCATCTCTGGAGAAGCTCTTAGCCTAGAGGAACTTGTTGCCCTGAAGGGAAGGCCCTGGCAAAGACCCAGTGCTGTGCTGGCTTCAGATCTGACCCAGTGCAGTCCCAGTGACGGCCACAGGGGTGCTTGTGTCACCACACCCCCAGCTCCAGGTGGCTCAGCAAGAGAGAGAGAGACTGTATGTTTGGGAGAAAGTAAGCAAAAAGAACAAGAGTCTATGCCTGATAATCCAGAAAATTCTTCCAGCTCTTATCCAAGACCACCAAGGCAGTACTTCTAAGAGTCTGCAAAACCACAGCATTATTGGG
Source organism: Homo sapiens (assembly GCF_000001405.40). Classification (NCBI taxonomy): domain Eukaryota; kingdom Metazoa; phylum Chordata; class Mammalia; order Primates; family Hominidae; genus Homo; species Homo sapiens. The sequence continues at coordinate 2,412,862 of NT_167246.2, read as the reverse complement.
TTTCCCAAGAAGGACAGGCACAAACAAGCCCAGGGCTGTGAAGGCTACAATAAATACCTAACTCTTCAATGCCCAGATACCGACAAACGCCTATAAGCATCAATACCATCATGACCTCATCAAATGAACTAGATAGGCTATCAGGGACCAATCCTGGAGAAAAAGAGATATATGATCTTTCAGATAGATCATTCAAAATAGATGTTTTGAGGAAACTAAAAGAAATTCAAGGGCCGGGTACGGTGGCTCATGCCTGAAATCCCAGCACTTTGGGAGGCTGAGGAGGGCGGATCGCGAGATCGGGATCGAGACCATCCTGGCTAACATGGTGAAACCCCATTTCTACTAAAAATACAAAAAATTAGCTGGGCGTGGTGGCACGTGCCTGCAGTCCCAGCTACTCAGGAGGCTGAGGCAGGAGAATCGCTTGAACCCAGGAGGCAGGGGTTGCAGTGAGCCGAGATCACGCTACCGCACTCCAGCTTGGGTGACAGAGTGAGACTCCATCTCCAAAAAAAAAAAATTAAGATAGCATAGAGAAAGAATTCAGAATTCTATCAGATAAATTTAACAAGGAGAATGAAATAATTAAAAAGAATCAGGCAGAAATTCAATAGTTGAAAAATACAATGGACATGCTGAAGAATGTACGACTCTTTTGAAAATTTTTTTGAAAATTTTTTTTCTTTTTCCTTTTTCCTTTTCTTTCTTTCTTTTTTTTTTTGTGGGGGGGACAGAGTCTTACTCTGTTACCCAGGCTGGAGTGCAGTGGCACAATTTCAGTTCACTGCAACCTCCGTCTCCTGGGTTCGAGAGGTTCTCCTGCCTCCGCCTCCCGAGTAGCTGGGATTACAGATGCCCACCACCACGCCTGGCTAATTTTTGTATTTTTAGTAGAGATAGGGTTTTGTTGTGTTGGCCAGGCTGGTTTCGAACTCCTGATCTCAGTTGATCCGCCTGCCTTGGCCTTTCAAAGTGCTTGGATTTCAGGTGTGACCCACTGTGCCCAGCCTTTTTAAAATTTTATTTATTTTAATCTTTCAGAAAAGACAGAATCTCTGAATTGTAGAATTAATCAAGCAGAAGAATTAGTGAGCCTGAAGACAGGCTCCTTGAAAATACAGAGTCAGAGGAGACAAAAGAAAAAATAATAAAAAACAATGAAGCATGCCTACGAGATCTAGAAAACAGCCTCAAAAGGGCAAATCTAAGAGTTATTGGCTTTAAAGAGGAGGTACAGAAGACATAGAGATAGAAAGTTTATTCAGAGAAATAACAGAATTTCCCAAACCTATGGAAAGATATCAACATTCAAATAAAAGAAGGTTATAGAATGCCAGGCAGATTAAACTCAAAGACTACCTCAAGGCATTTAATGATCAAACTCCCAAAGCGTCAATAAGTCTGGCAGCAGATTTTTCAGTGGAAGCCTTACAGGCCAGGAGACAGTGGCATGACATATTTCAAGTGCTGAAGGAAAAAAACTTTTACCCTACAATAGTATATCCAGTGAAAATATCCTTCAAGCATAAAGGAGAAATAAAGACTTTTCCAGACAAACAAAAGCTGAGGGATTTCATCAACACCAGACCTGTCTGACAAGAAATGCTAAAGGGAGCTCTTTAATCTGAAAGAAAAGGATGTTAATGAATGAGAATAAATCTCATTACAAAACTCACTGGTAATAGCAAGTATACAGAAAAACACAGAATAGTATAATAATTTAATGGTGGTAGGTAAACTACTCCTGTCTTAAAGTAGAAAGACTAAATGATGAACCAATAGAAAATAATAACTATAGTTTACTGCAGCACTGTTCATAATAGCCAAGATTTGGAAGCAACTAAAGTGTCCATCAACAGATGAATGGATAAAGAAAATGTACATATACATAATGGAGTACTATTCAGCCATAAAAAGAATGGTATCTTGTCATTTGCAACAATATGGATGGAATTGGAGGTCATTATGTTAGATGAAATAAGCCAGGCATAGAAAGACAAACATCACATGTTCTCACTTATTTGTGGGATCTAAAATCAAAACAATTGAACTCATGGACAGAGACAGTAGAAGGATGGTTACCAAAGGCTGGGAAGAGTAGAGCTATGGGGGACACGTGGGGATGGTTAATGGGACAAAAAAAATAGTTAGAAAGCATGAATAAGACCTGGTATTTGATAGCACAACAGGAGGACTACAGTCAATAATAACTTTTTTTTTCTTTTTTTTCGGATGGAATCTCCCTCTGTTGCCCAGGCTGGAGTATAGTGGCACCTTCTCAGCTTACTGCAGCCTCCACCTCCTGGGCTCCAGTGATTCTCCTGCCTCAGCCTCCCGGGTAGCTGGGATTACAGGCATGCACCAACACCCCTGGCTAATTTTTGTATTTTTTGGAATGATGGGGTTTCACCATGTTGGCCAGGCTAGTCTCAAACTCCGGACCTCAGGTGATCCGCCCGCCTCGGCCTCTCAAAGTGTTAGGAGTATAGGCATGAGCCACTGCGCCCAGCTGATAATAACTTAATTGTACATTTAAAAATAACTACAAGAGTATAATTGCATTGTTTGTAACACAAAGGATAAATACTTGAAAGGATGGATACCCAATTTTCCATGATGTGATTATGACACACTGCATGCCTGCACCAAAATATCTCATGTACCCCATAAACATATATACCTACAACGTACACACAAAATTAAAAAATCATTAATAAAATAATAAAATGAGGCCGGGCGTGGTGGCTCACTCCTGTAATCCCAGCACTTTGGGAGGCTGAGGCAGGCGGATCACCTGAGGTTGGGAGTTCAAGACCAGTCTGACCAACATGCAGAAACCCCATCTCTACTAAAAATACAAAATTAGCCGGGCGTGGTGGTGCATGCCTATAGTCCCAGCTACTTGGGAGGCTGAGGCAGGAGAATTGCTTGAAGCCAGGAGGCGGAAGGTTGCGGTGAGCCAAGATTGTGCCATTGCACTCCAGCCTGGGCGACAAGAGAGAAACTCTGTCTCAAAATAAATAAATAAATAAATAAATAAATAATAATAAAATGAAATAAAAATAAATAAATGTACAAAACCAGGGAGTAGTTTTTAGTATACTCATGGAGTTACAAAACCAACACCATAATCAATTTCAGAACATTTTCATCAACCCCAAAAGAAAGCCCAAACCCATGAGCAGTCACTCCCAATCTCCTAACCCTCCCCTACTCCACCCCAGCCCTAAGCAGCCACTCATCTACTTTTTGTCTCTAAGGACTTACCTATTCTGTACATTTCATATAAATGGAATAATACAACATGGTGTCGTTTTGACTGGCTTCTTTCATTTAGCACAATGTGTTCAAGGTTCATCCATGTTGTAGCACATATCAGTACTTTATTTCTTTTTATTTTCAAATTCATTTTTATTCTAGCGTATGGCTGTATATATCACATTTTATTTTCCATTCATCCGTTGAGGGACATTTAGGCCATTTCCATTTTTTATTGTTGTTGTTGTTGTCGTTGTTGTTTGGCTATTATGAATAATGCTGCTATGAACATTTGTGAACAAGTTCTTGTGTAGACATAGATTTTCATTTTTCTGGGCTATAAACCTAGAAGTAGGATTGCTGAGTCATACAGTAACTCCATGTTCAACCTTTGGAGGAATGGTCAGACTATTTTCCAAAGTGCTGTACCATTTCACTGTCCAACAGCTGTGCATGAGAGTGCCAATTTTTCCACACCCTTGCCAACACTTATTATCTCTCTTTTTACTATAGCCAGCCTAGTGGGTGTGAAATTATATCTCACTGAGGAATATAACTGCTTTTAGTTAGGTACACATCTTTTACATAAATTTTAGAATTTTGCGGGCCAAGCACGGTGGCTCACACCTGTAATCCCAGCACTTTGGTAGGCTGAGGAGAATGGATCACCTGAGGTCAGGAGTTCAAGACCAGTCCGGCCAACATGGCAAAACCCTGTCTCTACTGAAAAAACAAAAATTAGCCGGGCGTGGTGGCACATGCCTGTAATCCCAGCTAGTCGGAAGGTTGAGGCATGAGAATCGCTTGAACCCAGGAGGCGGAGGTTGCAGTGAGCCGAGATCACTCCATTGCACTCCAACCTGGGTGACAGAGCGAGACTTCGTATCAAAAAACAAAAACAAAAAAACAAACAAGAATCTCACAACATATTTTCTCCCCCTAATATAACACACTTCAATAATCTCTTGACCATTATTACATAATGAATTTTTCTCTCATTATGATATACTGACTTGATCTGTTAGCAGTATTAAATCTTATGCATATCTTATTTGTATTTTATTATAACTAGTAGGGCAATTTAAATATTCAATATTCTAGAAGATGAAGAATTGGGTTGACTTGGTTAGCTCTTCTTTTTAGTGATATTTTTGGTTAATTTATTGTCTTGGTACCTACTATTGAAACTCCCTTCTCTTTCATTATTGCCTCTGACATCATCTCATGTCAGACGTTCTTATTTCTGCTAACATTCATACTTACAGCAGGGCTGTTACTGGCGGTGAATCCGTAGGTGTCTGCAGCAACCTCAATTCTTACCTCCTCAGAAGAAAGAATTTGACTGAGGGGCATAAGGCAGGAGACAACGAGGCAAGTTTTAGAGCAGGAGTGAAAGTTTATTAAAAGGCTTTAGAGCAGGAAGGAAAGTACATTTGGAAGAGGGCCAAGTGGACGACTTTAGAGATCAAGTATGTGGTTTGATCTTTTGACTTGGGTCTTTTTTTGTTTGTTTTTTGTTTTTTTTTTTTTTGAGATGGAGTCTCTCCCTGTCACCCAGGCTGGAGTACAGTGGTGCAATCTTGGCTCACTGCAACCTCCGCCTCCCGGGTTCAAGCGATTCTCCTGCCTCAGCCTCCCAAGTAGCTGGGATTACAGGTGTGCACCACCAAGCCTGGCTAATTTTTGTATTTTTAGTAGAGACGGGGTTTCACCATGTTGGCCAGGCTGATCTCAAACTCCTAATCTCAGGTGATCTGCCCACCTTGGCCTCCCAAAGTGCTGGGATTACAGGTGTGCCACTGCACCCGGCCTGACTTGAGGTTTTATACATTGCATGCTTCGGGGGTCTTGGTGTTCCTTCTCCCTTGATTCTTCCCTTGGGCTGGGCTGTCCATATGTGCAGTGGTCTGCTAGCCCTTGGAAAGGGCGGCATGCACAGTGTGTTTACTGGAGTTGTACGCATGCTCACTTGAGGCGTTCTTCCCTTGCCAGTCTAAAATTCGTAGAGGAAGGACATACACCAGTTAAACTCCACAGTTTTGCCTCTTAGTGAGCATGCTTGAGTCCACTCGCCCAACTCCTGAGATCTTATCAGGAAGCTGCTGATCACCAGTTTCAGGTTTTTTCTATCTATTGGGATCTGCCTGTCCCTGGCGCCAGCTGCTACCAGTTATTATTTTAGAGAAACAGTTAATAACCGCCTGGCCATCACCTGATGCTCGCCTGGCATTCCTGGTGGGTGTGTGTGGTAGGAAGCCCTCTCCTGCTCTGCTCGTGCCTGACTAGCTGCCTACTATAACAGGGCTACTTGGCTTTCTCAGCATTCTCTGTGGGTTTTCTGCTTACACAGACAAAAGCAAGCACCTATCTTTGCTTTATAAACAGACACATAATTAATAGAAGAGACAAAATGAATAGTTCCCTTTTTATTAAAATAAAATTTTAAAACTCAATTCTTCTCTATTACAGTCATCTTTTGTGCCCTTTATGTGAATTTTTATCTGTTATTATCGTGATTTCATGGCCTGCCACAGATTCAATTTACTTCAATTAACCATAATTATCATTCCTCCCCCCATCTTCTTTCTTTCATGCCCGACTGTCAACTTGAACAATGGGAGCTCTTTGAAATTGGCTCCTTTGTCTTTTTAAGCACTGTCCTTGACTTACTTTCCTTCCTTCCTTCCCTCCTTCCTTCCTTCTTTCCTTCCTTCCTTCTCTCTCTCTCTCTTTCTTTCTTTTCTTTCTTTTTTGCGACAGGGTCTCACTGTTGCCCAGGTTGGAGTGGCACAGTCACAGCTCACTGCAGTCTTGACCTTCCCAGCATCAGATGATCCTCCCATTTCAGCCTCCCACATAGCTGGGACTACAGGCATGCATCACCATGCCCAGCTACTTTTTGTATTTTTTGTAGAGATGGGGTTTCGCCACGTTGCCCAGGCTGGTCTTGAACCCCTCTGCTCAAGTGATCTGTCCGTCTTGGCCTCCCAAAGTGCTGGGATTACAGGCATGAGCCACGTGCCCAGCCTGTCCTTCACATTCTTGAAGTCATCCTTGCTCTATGGCAACAACAGAACATTCAAGTCCTGTCCTGATTCTTTCCTTCTCTGAGACATGGAATCAGTTGTCACCTAAGCCTTGCATTCTAAGGGGTCCTAGTTTCTATAAATGAAAAACAGTATTTGAAACCAAAGGCTAGGTCCTGGGGTTCCACATGACAGCTAGTGACAAAACTACTACCTCCTCTGTTGGCCACTTTTTTGTTTGTTTGTTTGTTAGTTTGAGACAGAGTCTTGCTGTGTTGCCAGGCTGGAGTGCAGTGGTGCCATCTTGGCTTAGTGCAACCTCAACCTCCCAGGCTCAAGCAATCCTCCCACCTCAGCCTCCCAAGTAGCTAGGACTACAAGTGCACCACCATGCCTGGCTAATTTTTTTTTTTTTTTTTTTAAATAGAGACAGGGTTTCGCCATGTTGCCCAGGCTGGTCTCAAACTCCTGGGCTGAAGCCATCTGCCCATCTCAGCCTCCCAAAATGCTGGGATTACAAGTGTGATCCACTGTGCCTGGCCCATAGTTGGCCACTTTTTAAGATAGACGTTAATGTCAAATTTGCTAACTTAACATGCTGTTTGTTGTATCCTACTTGCATTAGAGAGAGCAGGGTAGACTCATCATGAAAACTTTCCACATCACTGAGAGACAATGAAGGGACCATACCCAGGTTTATGCAGGAATGAAGTGAAGGAATATGTGGAAGTTAAAGTCAGTGTGGGGAAGGCTGGAGAGTGTGAATTGGGCAACACTCCACGTAAGGTGAGGTCAGCTGGGAAACCAGTCCACTGTAGAGATTTTGAAGTCATAAGTTTGAGATAAGGTGAAGTGCTCAGTGATTTTTCCACCTGTTATTTTCACCTAACAAAGACCTGTTTGAGCTATAGTCATTCAGGATGTGACCATGTGTCCCCCACCCCCAAAAGATACGCTGAAATCTTAATCCCTGGTACCTCAGAATGTGATCTGATTAGGAAATAGGGTCTTTATAGAGGTCATCAAGTTAAAATGAGGTCATTAGGGTGAGCCTTAATCCAATAGAATTTGAGTGGAGCCTGGAGCATCTGCAGGACCCAAGAAAGTGACCACAGAGAGGGGCCAAGGGGTGGGGGTGCTGGTGCTGACACTGCAGAGCCTTCTAGGCCTTCTTAGGGATTTGGCATTTTACCTGTATCTGAAGAACAAGGGTTGCACTGATGGCAAGCCAAGATGCATTGTGTTTGCTAGGGGCTGCCAAGTTGCCAAGAGAGGAAATGACTCTGCAGATGGTTCTGCAGGGCCTGGCACAGGGCGAGTTTCCTGCATGAGGGAGGTGCTTTTATTTAATTGTTAAATTTGTTTCCTGTTTATGCCCTTCTTTCTCATATGGGGATGTTCATGGCCTCCTGCCTGGGTGGTGACAGCACTCTCCTAACTGGCCTCATACCCACAGGCTCTGCGTCCTCCAGCCCATCCTATAAGTCAGTTCATCAGACCTCTACCCTGCTCAGGTACTGGCTGGGTGCAGAGCCTGCAGCTTGCACAGAAGGTCGTTCCTGTGCAGCTGACTGCCCCTCCAGGCTCTGTCTGTCTCTTGTCCTCACCCTCACCCCTGCTCCTGCTCTCTGCTGGGCAGACACCACTGGTGGAACTCATGAACATTTGCAGAACTAATGACTGAAGGCACCAGGGCCCTGGCAGCCACCCCACCCTGCATGCAACTGGAGCTCTTCACCACTCTGCACTTTGGTTCTGTGATTTGCCCACCTCCTCTTTCTCTGCCTGTTAAATGGAACATTCATTTGCTACATTCCAGTTCCAGAAGCTTTTAACAAAACCCAGGGAATCCTAGAAGGGTACAGTAAGAGGAATGGAAAGAGGAAAGAAGTTAAAATGTATTTGGTGGCCAGACGCAGTGGCTCATGGCTGTAATCCCAGCACTTTGGGAGGCCGAGGCGGGCGGATCACTTGAGATCAGGAATTCAAGACCAGCCTGGTCAATATGGCAAAACCCCATCTCTACTAAAAATATAAAAATTAGCTGGGCGTAGTGGCGGGCAACTGTAATCCTAGCTACTCGGAAAGCTGAGGCACGAGAATCACTTGAACCCCAGAGGCAGAGGTTGCAGTGAGCTGAGATCGCACTACTGCACTCCAGCCTGGGTGACAGAGTGAGACTCCAATTCCAAAAATAAATAAATAAATAAATAAATAAATAAATGTGTTTGGTTCAGGGGAAAGACTAAAGCTACTGAATAACCTTTGATGCTAAATAAAATTATAACTTTAAATAGATGTAAGGGAAATCATGAATTAGACTAGAACTAAAGATGCATGTTTTAAACTACTGGAAGGGCTGAAACAACAACATAGAGAGCAACCCTTTCGGTGAAAATCAGGGGAAAAAATAGTACTCAGAAAAAATAAAGTAATATAGACATAAAAGCTTATCTCTTTTTTAAACAGAGTATTCGTGTTCCATGAAACTGCTGGTGATAATTTTTAAAAAGTGTATTCATGGAGAAAGTTCTGATGAGATATTATTTCGGCGGTTATTCCTTGGTGGTAGAAGCTTTTCAGGACTTTTCAACTTTGTACTTTGTACTTTTACAAAGACCTGTATAGTACTGGGTTTATAATAAAAACAAAACAAACACAAAAGCCCATTCATCTGCAAACAACTCATTGTTCAAGTCTTTCCTGACCCTCCCACTGAACTCCCAGGCTGATGGTGACTTTCTCATGACATTGAAGGACATTGAATAATTATAACTACTGTAACTAATGGGCCCAGCACTAAGCTCTCTAAGCCTCATCTTCCTTATCTGTAAAGTGGGGATAGTCAGAGTTCCCATGTGATAGGCTTGTTGAGATGACTCAACCAAATATTTGTATACGAAATTCTTAGCATCGTGTCTGGCACGATAAGAACTCAATAACAATTTGCTGTTGTTACCATTATTATTATAATTTATTTTATGTTATTTTTTGAGTGACAGAGTGTCACTCTGTCCCCCAGGCTGGAGTGCAGTGGCACGATCTTGGCTGACTGCAACCTCCACCTGCTGGCTTCAAAGGATTCTCCTGCCTTAGCCTCCTGAGTAGCTGGGAATACGCCCCCGGCTAATTTTTTTTTTTTTTTTTTTTTTGAGACTCGCTCTGTCACCTAGTCTAGAGTGCAGTGGTGCGATCTCGGCTCACTGCAACATACGCCTCCCAAGTTCAAGCGATTCTCCTGCCTCAGACTCCTGCATAGCTGGGATTACAGGCACCCGCCATCATGCCCAACTAATTTTTGTATTTTTGGTAGAGATGGGGTTTCACCATGCTGGCCAGGCTGGTCTTGAACTCCTGACTTCAGGTGATCAGCCCACCTCAGCCTCCCAAAATGTTGGGATTACAGGTGTAAGCCACCGTGCCCAGCCTAATTTTTGTATTTTTAGAAGAGACGGGGGTCTCACCATGTTGACCAGGCTGGTCTAGAACTCCTGATCTCAGGTGATCTGACCACCTTGGCCTCCAAAAGTGCTAGGATTACAGGTGTGAGCCACTGCACCCAGCCTCTAACTTACTTTAATTCCAAACATCCTTCCAAGGTAGGCATTATGAGCTTTATAAATGATGAAAATATGGCTCAGAGAGGTTAAGTAATTTGCCTAAAGTCACACAGCTAGTAAAGGGTTTCCTAGGACATTACATGAAAGTTAATCACCTACGAATGAAAGTTGTGGGGAGTCTGTGCACAGTGAATGAGAGGCACTAACTGGAAAAGACACTGTAGATGGTGCTAAGGAAATTGGGGAGTAAATAAATCCAATCAAAGGGAGCCAAGGGGAAGTATGCATGGATAAAGACTAGACCTAAGGAAGCAAAAATCAAATCCATGGTACTAGGCGCCAACTGAAGAAAGAATGTGGATGCAGAAGAGGGTGGCCTTTATGGAATCTAGAAAAGCGGGGCTCAAGGGACAAGAATCATGAGCTGTTTAGTCATTGTTCCCTGCAGGGGAACATGAAGACAGGTATGTTCTGGCCATGAGTATTCTGTTGTAACCTATTTTAATTTTATTTTCTTAATTTTCTTTAATAGAGACAGGGTCTGGTATGTTACCCAGGCTGATCTCCTGGGCTCAAGTGATTCTCCCACCTCAGCCTCCCTAAGAGATTGCAGGCATGAGCCACCACGCCCAGCCATAACCTACTTTTAATCAGCAGCTTCAAAATGGCTGTGACATCAAGTGTATAATAACACTGAACTCACAGTCATGCTCTACATATCAAAAGATGGGTGGAGAGAGACTTCTTCTGTCAGTTTGATGGAAGAATATGTGTGCCGTCTGTTTCATGTACACTAGAATTCATCCCTGAATTAAGCCAGACCAGTGGCATGGACACACAGCATGGGACTGCACTGATCTGACTGATTCTGCCGGAACATGGTGCCACCAGCTGTAACAGGAACACCGAAGAAATGAATAAATCCTATGAAAACTTGTATTTATGGTAGTGGTGTGGTTGAGACGTTGTTCACTTTATCACACCCCTTCTGGTCAAGGGAGACCAGAAGAAAACTGCTTCCTGGTCTCAGGGAAAGGATTAGTTGTGTTACTATTGCGGGACTTTTCCTTAGTTCAGCTAAAGACGGGTTCTTTGTCCCACAGCCACGAAAATTCAGGCTCGCAGACAATCTGAATGGTGAATGAGATGGGTTTTATTGGATGAAAAGGAAGAAAACGGAGAAACAGGGACTGTCGCTAGGCCAGAGTCCCTACTAGAGCGCTTCCCACCCGCCATTCAAATCCCAGGATCCACACACTAAGAAGAGGGGCCAGGCTGCTCCCCGCTGCAAAGGGCACAAACTTCCTGAGGCTCCACCTCAGTGGGCAGGCTGGTTGGCATTTCTCCAGGGAACCCCTCCCACCTGGCTGTCTCACTACTTCTGAGACTTTGGACACTGGAAGCCATGTGATGATTGTGTTTCCCTCTTTGAATTGGCTTCTAGAGAGCTCAGTTCCAAACCTGCGACCCCCACCCCCAGCACAGCATGATGTTTATACTAATCTTACTGGTTTTATCTGATTTTTCTAACTCTTTACTTGCCTTCGTATTTTTCTTTCTTTTTCTTAGAGATTTTGGGGTCTCACTCATAGCTCACTGCAGCTTCAAACTCCTGGGCTCAAGTGATCCTCCAGCCTCAGCCTTCTGAGGAAGTAGCTAGGACTATAGGCATGTGCCCCAACAGCCTGGCTAATTCATTTTATTGCTTTTTTAGAGATGAGATCTGGCTATGTTGTCCAGGCTGGGCAGTCTCAAACTCCTGGCCTCAAGCAATCCTCCTGCCTCAGCCTCCAGAGTAGGTGGGGTTACAGGCAGGCACCACCAGGCTCAGCCTTAGTTGTAATTTTTAATTCTGTTGTATTGTGTTTAAGCTATTTTAGATTTTGTTTAAAACAAGGCTGGTATAGATACATACAATGTTTTATTCCTGGACTGGGTTTTACTATGACCTGGATGAAATACTCCTAAAATATCTACCTCTCTTAACTTTGATTTCTTGGTCACCCAGCAACGTATTTTGATTGGCAGTCAACTTTTCCTTTCAGGTATCTTGCTACTAGTTTATTTAGTTATTTTGTCATTTCACTGTTTCCATTCACTAGTTTCCATATTTCATTGCGTCCTTTTTTGCTCTTGTGTGTTTTTTTTTATGTCATTCTTTTAAGTTTATATCATATTTGTGTAATGTGGTTTTTTTCTTAACTTTTAAATTATTTTGAAGTCAATTTCATTACAAATTTCTTTTTTTAGCCAGGTGCAGTGGCTCACACCTGTAATCCCAGCACTTTGGGAGGCCGAGGTGGGCAGATCACCAGAGGTCAGGAGTTCGAGACCAGCCTGACCAACCTGGAGAAACCCTGTCTCTACTAAAAATACAAAAATTAGCCGGGTGTGGTGACACATGCCTGTAATACCAGCTACTAGGGAGGCTGAGGCAGGACAACCACTTGAACCTGGGAGGCGGAGGTTGTGGTGAGCCGAGATCATGCCATTGTACTCCAGCCTGGGCAACAAGACTGAAACTGCGCCTCAAAAAATAAAAAATTTAAAAAAATAATTAATTAAATTAATTAATCATTATTATTATTATTATGAGACAAGGTCTGGCTCTATCACCCAGGCTGGAGTGCAGTGGCACAATCACAGCTCACTGCAGCCTGGACTTCGCTGGCTCAAACTATCCTCCCACCTCAGCCTCCCAAGTAGCTGAAATGGATACGTGCACCAACACGCCCGGCTAATTTTTGTATTTTTAGTACAGACAGGGTTTCGCCATGTTGCCCAGGTTGGTCTCAAACTCCTGAGCTCAAGTGATCCACCTGCCTTGGCCTCCCAAAGTGCTGGGATTATAGGCATGAGCCACCATGCCTGGCCTAAAATTTCTTTTACTGTGGTAAAAATAAACATATATATAATTCAGCTATAAACGAGGAATTACATTCTGATACATGCTACAACATGGATGAATATTGAAAAAAAATTATGCAAAATGAAATGAGCCAGAAACAAAAGGACAAATATTGCATGATTTCACTTACATCAGATATTTAAAATGGGGAAATCTGGTTTGTCAGCACAGCAGGGAAAAAAATAAATAAAAATAAAATAGGAAAATCATAGAGGTGAAAAGTCAATTTAGCCAGGTGTGGTGGCTCATACTTGTATGTGTGTGTGGTGTGTGTGTATATATATGTGTGTGTGTGTGTGTGTGTGTGTGTATGTTATATATATGAAAATGTATATAAGGTAAGATTTCCCATTTAACCATTTTATTTTATTTTATTTTATTTTATTTTCTCAAGACGGAGTCTCGTTCTGTTGCCCACGCTTGAGTACAGTGGCACGATCTCGGCTCACTGCAACCTCCACCTCCTAGGTTCAAGCAATTCTCCTGCCTCAGACTCCTGAGTAGCTGGGATTACAGGTGCCTGCCACTATGCCTGGCTAATTTTTGTATTTTTAGTACAGATGGGGTTTCACCATGTTGGCCAGGCTGGTCTTGAACTCCTGACCTCAGGTGATCCTCCCACCTCGGCCTCCCAAAGTGCTGGGATTACAGGCCTGAGCCACTGCACCCAGCCTAACCATTTTAAATGTATAATTCATTGGCATTAATTACATTTGACGTTGTTGTGCAGCTGTCAACCACTATCTGTTTCCAAATTTTTTTCATTACTCCAAACAGAAACTCATTACCCATTAAGCAATAACTCCCCATTCTCCTTTCCGCCCAGCCCCTGGTAACCTCTAATCGACTTATTTTCTTTTCTTTTTTTTTTTTTTAGAGGTGGTGGGGGTGGGTGTCTCACCATGTTGCCCAGGTTGGTCTCGAACTCTTGGCCTCAAACAGTTCTCCTGCCTCAGCCTCTCAGAGTGCTGGGATTACAGGCATGAGCCACGGCACCTGGCCAAATTGACTTTTCACCTCTATGATTTTTGTATTTTACTTTTATTTATTTTTTTTCCTGCTGTGCTGGCAAACCAGATTTCCCCATTTTAAATATCTAACGTAAGTGAAATCATACAATATTTGTCCTTTTGTGTCTGGCTTATTTCATTTTACATAATTTTTTCAATGTTCATCCATGTTGTAGCATGTATCAGAATGTAATTTCTGCTGGGCGCGGTGGCTCATGCCTGTAATCCCAGCACTTTGGGAGGCCGAGGCTGGCAGATCACCTGAGGTCAGGAGTTGGAGACCCGCCTGGCCAGCATGGTGAAACCCCGTCTCTACTAAAAAAAATACAAAAATTAGCTGGGCGTGATGGCGCGTGCCTGTAATCCCAGCTACTCAGGAGGCTGAGACAGGAGAAACCCTTGAACCGGGGAGGCGGACGTTGCAGTGAGCCAAGATTGCGCCACTGCGCTCCAGCCTGGGTGACAGAGCAAGACTCTGTCTGCAAAATAAAATAAAATAAAATAAATAAATAGAATGTAATTTCTTTTTTATGGCTGAATAATAGTACTTTGTAATATTTTCATTATTGTGTATCTTTAAATTAATTTTAACGCCTTTCTTTTTTTTTTTCTCTTTTTTTTTTTTGGTAGCGATTTGGACCTCACTATGTTGCCCAGGCTGGTCTCAAACTCCTGGGCTCAAGCGATCCTCCCCTCTCGGCCTCCCAAAATGCTGGGATTACAGGCGTGAGCCACCTCGTCCTGCCACCATTTTATTTTTTGAATGATTTCTTATTGTCTTAACTTCTTAGGTGACTAACAATGAGGCTTGCTACTATCACCCTAGCATAATGATATCATCCTTAGCAAGGGAGTTGGGCGCTCTTACCGGTAGATGGCGCTGTCGATCTTTTAAAAAGCGAGCTCTCCTGCCCTCCCACTTTGAGCTCGCTGAGTCAAAACACAGCCCGAATAGTTTAGGAGCTCCAAAGCCCCGCTTATCTCCACTTTCCAAATTCTCTCTCATTAAGACCAACAAAAATTTTACCTTTATTATTAGTTATGTGACCTGCTAAGACAATTTATAACACTTTTTATTATGGAAATTTTCAAACTTACACAAAAATAAAGAAAATACCTCTATTTACCTACCATGGGACTTCAACAATTATTAGCATTTACAAATCTTGGAACAATGTTATTTTCTCACATTATGTTCTATCTCATCCCTCTTAAAGAGTTATCAGATGGGAAATCCATGGTCTAGGCTCAATAAAATCACTCTACATTAGGAAAGTCTTGGAAACAGATTGCGTTTTAGCAGGAAAAGGAGGGGGGTTGATGATTTCATTCAATAAAACAGCCTTAACTCACCGCCGTGACCAATAACCGGGTAATGTGGAAGCTCCCCGTAAGATTCCTCGTGGAAGGCAAAAATAGAGCACAACTGGGCTTTTGAATACCTCTTACATCTGCCTGCCTTTGTCTTGTCTATTTTCCAACCTGATTTCACCTGCTCCCTATCAGGATCTTAGCCTCTCAGGGTGCAGCTGATCTCAGTTCCTTTCCTTATAGTGAGACCAAGATAAGTTGACTGGGCCTGGAAATATTCTCAAGAGAGGTTTTAGAATGGAGTCAACTGCATTTCCACTGAGTCATGTCTGAAGATAAATCACAGGGCATCTATTCAGCAGTCCAGGCTGATATCTATCTTACTTCCTGAATGTGGGTCTCGGGTATCCCTCAGAGCAGCTGTCTGATATCAGGAAGGGAAATGTGTGTTAGAGATGGTTTATTGTTATAAGTCAAACAAATAAATTATTGAATAAAACATGTTCCAGCTTTTGTCTTGATAAATATACCTTCATACTGATCTTGAAGTCTAGTGTAGCAGATACTGTTGTGTGCCACCCAAATCCTACCTTCAACATTGTCACTTATTCCCCAGCTGCCAGGGGTGTTGGTTGTGACAGCTCTGTCTCTGGGAATTGCCCTTAGCTGAAAAGAGCTGCCTTGCCCAAGGTTACACCTCCCCTCCCTGGGGGCAGCCACATCCAATGACTGATAGATAAGATAAGAACATACAAAGTCCTGGTTACCTTGCTTCAAGTTTGGCCACCTTTTTGTTTGTTTGTTTGTTTGTTTGTTTGAGATGGACTTTCGCTCTTGTTGCCCGAGCTGGAGTGCAATGGCACAATCTCTGCTCACTGCAACCTCCGCCTCCTGGGTTCAAGTGATTCTCCAGCCTCAGCCTCCTGAGTAGCTGGGATTACAGGCGCATGCCACCATGCCCGGCTAATTTTTTGTATTTTTAGTAGAAACGGGGTTTCACCATGTTAACTAGGCTGGTCTTGAACTGCTGACCTCAGATAATCCTCCCCCACTCGGCCTCCCAAAGTGCTGGGATTACAGGCGTGAGTCACCGCGCCCGGCCGAGTTTGGCCAAATTTAAAGGACTTTTCCAGTGCCAGAGGCCTCCACAACCCATGAGATCAGCTCAGTACTCTTTACGGCTTCATTACAGTTCAACTGCTCCCTTTCCCTGTCCCGTTTCTCTCAGCTTTTAAAGGTGTTTGTCCCAAGATTGTTCCCCAATAAAACTTCTGCAGATAAATCTATCTGAGAATCTGTTTTCTGGGGAATCCAGGCTAGGACAGCCAGGCTGGAATTTAGAATTCTGAGACTCCCCTAGGTTCCATGGCAGAATATGGCTGAGTGAGGAAAACTAGCTCTGGGTCCTCTACCTGCATCTGCCCTACTTTCTTTTCCTGAAAATTCAAGTCCCTAAAATCTCCAGACCCATATCCTTCTCTGAAAACAGCCACATTTTGGGGTCTCAGAGCATGCACGACAGCAGCGAGGCATAACCCCTGGGACGATGGCCCCAGGAGGAGGCCCATGCAAACTTGGAAGCAGGCTTGGGGGCCATTAGTGCCAGGAATTCAGGGGTTCCAAGTACCTAGACTGTAGTACTTGTAGAAGAGATGCAACCTCCATGGGTAGGTCTATCCCTTTGGCTTCTCGGACTTTTTGTCCTATAAGTTGGGGGAATGATAGAGCAGGTCCCTCTAGATCATGGAGCCCGGGCAGGGTCCTCATGTGCTTGGATCCAAGGGTGGGAAAACATTTTCTACCTAATTTAAACCAGTGGCATTTGTGTCTCTGTTACAAGCAGCCAAAAATTTATATTTTAACACGTCTAGTTGACTTCCTGCACTTCTATGCCCATCTTCCTAAAAGAGAACAGTGTATCTCTCTAAAAGGGACTTCATCCTTTACTCTCAGGTCCTAGAATATACTGATGTTTCCTACATGTTAATTATGCTTTCCACAATCAAAATTTGATTTCATTAGGAAATCCATTCATGCAAGAGATGTCTCTAATTAAAAACTATCCAAATAACTTCTCCAATAACCAACCACACTGGCCTTTTTGCTCTCCTCCCTGCTGAGGGCTTATATCCCTGGATATCCTTTGACATCCATCAGCCCTGCTCTCTATAGTGACAATCTACAGGAACATTTCCATTTATTGCCTCTCCAGTGATTCTCAGCTCTTTGCAAACAAAATTCCATCCAGTTCCTTCAAAGGGCAGTCCTTTAAAAACCATGAGCCTATACTGTTAGTCATGATATGCGGAAAGAGATTGTTGAGGGTCTCAAGTACCAAATCCACCTACTGCAATGCATTGAGAAAATATGCATCAATTGCTTGTTCTGATAATGTACTGTAGTATGTAAGAGCTTACCACTGGGGAAGCTGCGTGAAGAGTGCACAGGACATCTCGGTACTAATTTTGCAACTTTCTGTGCATCTTTAGTTATTTGAAAACAAAAAGAGAAGAAAAAAAAAGAGGAGGAGGCAGGACATTAAAAAATATAACCTTATGGATGGGCTTGGTGGCTCACGTCTGTAATCCCAGCATTTTGGGAGGCCGAGGCCGGCGGATCACGTGAGGGCAGGAGTTCGAGACCAGCCTAGCCATCATGGCGAAACCCCATCTCTACTAAAAGTACAAAAATTAGCCAGGCGTGGTGGCAGGCGCCTGTAATCCCAGCTACTCAGGAGGCTGAGGCAGGAGAATTGCTTGAACCCGGGAGGCGGAGGCTGCAGTGAGCAGAGATCTTGCCACTTCACTCCGGCCTGGGCAAAAGAGTGAAACTCTGTCTCAAAAACAAAACAAAACAAAACAAAACAACAACAAAAAACTCCTTATTCAAAAATCGAGGCCATTCCAGATAAAGGAACTCTCTTTATATCTACAGTTTTGGCTCCAAACTTTATTGTGGCTTCGTACCTTAGTGAACTGGATTAGTGAGCATGTGTGATTGCAGTGACTGCCTAAAAAAGAGACAGGGCAGCCTGCCCTGTCCCATGAGTCCTTCCCGTTGGGCTTCCATAAAAGGGGTGAAGTGTCCTTCCCCAGCAGGAGGCGGCATTGAGTAATTCTCATGACACCAGCCTTAAAGAAGGACTTACTTGGCCTGCAGTCTGCCACACACATCTCCCTCAGGGCCCCAGCAGGGCCTCTGCAGCTGGTAGGTGCTTAATGGAGGATTTTAGGATTTTGCATCTTGGTTATCTCATCTTTGAGGACTCGACCTACATCTGGCAAGTCTAGGAGATGGAATTGAGGAGGGCATATGCACAGAGTACTGGGAATTAGAGAGCTGAGTCACTGGAGAGTCTCGAACCTCAGAGCAGCTGCCTTTCTCTTGGACTCAGGCCAAGATTGAGGGAGACTGACGACATATTGCATCTCACAGGTTCCCAGGGGCACAAGGCTATTTGCGACCACAGCAGCTCCGTTTGGCTAAGGAGGCCTTGGGTTTCTGAGGGATAGGAAGAATCAGAGCAGAGAAGAGCAGATGGAATGGTGACCGACGTAGGGCCCTGAAGTTTACTTAGGGTTGTCTTCTAGAAATGTGAGGTGCTGTGTTTACAAAAAAAGCATAGCTTGCACTGCTCTCAGTCTCAGGTTCCCAGGGGAAAGGGCTAAATAAGGACAATCTGCAATGCATTGGAAGGAAAAACTGAGAGGCTTATACATTTATGAGAGGTATCCCCACTATGTATTTGTAAATCTTCCAGAATGTAGGAATGTCCAGATGCCATTAAAAAAAAAAAGACTAACTGTATTTATTCATTTATCTATTTTTATTGACATTGTAATTGTATATATTCAGATGCCCTTTTTTTTTTTTTGAGATGGAATTTTGCTCTTCTTGCCCAGGCTGGAGTGCAATGGCATGATCTCAGCTCACTGCAACCTCCGCCTCCTGAGTTCAAGCAATTCTGCTGCCTCAGCCTCCGGAGTAGCTGGGGCTGGGACTACAGGCATGCACCACCATGCCCAGCTAATTTTTCTGTACTTTAGTACAGACGGAGTTTCGCCATGTTGGCCAGGCTGGACTTGAACCCCTGACCTCAAGTGATCCTCCCGCCTTGGCCTCCCGAAGTGCTGGGATTACAGGACTGAGCCACCTCGCTCAGACTTTTTTTTTTTTTTAAATGGAACCCTTCACAAATTTGTGTGTCATCCTTGAGCAGGGGCCATGCTAATCTTCTCTGTATCAGATGCCACTTTCATTTTTAGACGGAGTCTCACTCTGTTACCCAGGCACCTGCCACCATCCCCAGCTGATTTTTTTGTATTTTTAGTAGAGACAGGGTTTCACCATGTTGGTCAGGCTGGTCTCAAACTCCTGACCTCAGGTGATCCACCCACCTTGGCCTCCCAAAATGCTGGGATTACAGGTGTGAGCCACCGCTCCTGGCCTTTTTGTTTTTTAAACTCAGCACTCATCTTAGTATTCTAATATATTATCTCCTAAATAAGTTTTTATTTAACTATTTAAAATTTTTATCAGATTTATACAGATATGTAATTTTAAAAGCCAAATATATATGTGTGTGTATATAAATTACAGATATGTAATTTAAAAAGCCAAAGACAGAACAAAAGCTATAGTCCGGTACCAACCCCTAATTCTCTCTTCCTAGAAGTAAAAGCACTTCGATGCTCAATTAGTTTTTATCTTCCTGTTTCTTAATAACAAGTTATATCAGTCAGGGTTCAGTGCAGCAACTAGAGATTACGCTAGGTAAATTAACAGGAAGACATTTTACAAAGGGTATTAAGAGCTTTTGAAATCTTTATAAGGGCTGAGGGCACAGGTTCTAAGCTGGGCTTTATGGAATGATATCCAGAATTATACAGATCTACTAGGTTTTCTTTTGATCATTTGTCTATGAATTTATCACAAATTTGTCAGCAGATTCTATAGAAGTCTATTTTTTCTCTGCAGTCTAATGTATTACAATTAATCAATTCCCTCTTTTTCTTGGTAATATCTTTCTGTAACCAGGTAAAGGAATTTTCTTAATCCCTGAGGTTTTGGCCCCAAGCCTTTTTTTTTTTTCTTTTTTCTTTTTGAGATCCACTCTGTCACCCAGGCAGAAGTGCAGTGGTGAAATCTTGGCTCACTGCAACTTCTGCCTTCTGGGTTCAAGAAATTCTCTGCCTCCGCCTCTTGAGTAGTTGGAATTACAGGCATGTGCCACCATGCCCAGCTAATTCTTTTGTGTGTTTTTGGTAGAGACGGGGTTTCACTATGTTGGCCGGGCTGGTCTCAAACTCCTAGCCTCAGGTGATCCACCCGCCTTGGCTTCACAAAGTGCTGGGATTACAAGCAGGAGCCACCATGCCCGGCCTCCAAACCATTTTAATCTGGACCTGCGGATCCCTAGTTCTCCTACACAGCAACCTCCTGGGATTTTCATTCTCCTCACTCTTTGGAGGATCCCACATCTTTATCTCTCCTGATCTAATCCCTTACTTTGATGGAACTTCCTAAGGAAAGGGGCAAGGGAGGGCAATTTTTGAAATTTTGTCTGAAAATGTCTTTTATATTATGATTACATCTGATTAATAGTTTTACTGAAAATAAAATTCCAAGTTGTAAAATTTACACCTAAATTAGGAAAGCACTGCTCCACTATCTTCCAGCTTCCAGTGCTACTGTTGAAAAGTCCTCAGCTAGGTGTTATGGTGCGCACCTGTAATACCAGCACTTTGGGAAGCCAAAGTGGGAGGATTGCTTGAGCCCAGGAGTTCAAGACCAGCCTGGGCAACGTAGTAAGATTTCGTCTCTACAAAAAATAAAATTAAATTTAAAAATTAGCTGGGCATGGTGGTACGTGTCTGTAGTTTTCAGAAGGCTGAGAGGGGACGATCCCTTGAGCCCAGGAGTTCAAGGCTGCAGTGATCCATGATTGTATCACTACGCTCCAGCCTGGGTGACAGAGTGAGATCCTGTCTCAAAAAAAAAAAAAAAAAAAAAGGAAAAGAGAAAGAAAAAAAGAGAAAACCCTATACCATTTGAGTTTTGATCTTTTTCATGTGACCTGTTTTTTTCTTTTTGTCCAATTTTGGGATTTTTCTTTTTGTCCTCAGTATTTTTAAAATTATGGTAGTATGCCTTGGATTTCATTCCTTTTGTTAGACACTTCTGTTAGACACTTGAGGTCTATCTCACTTTGGAACCATATCTCTCAGTTCTGAGAAAAGTTCTTGAATTATTTCTTTGATAATTTCATCCCTTCTGTTCCCTCTGTCTATTCTTTCTAGAAATCCTCCTATTCATCCAGATGATCTAATTTTCATATATTTTCTATACCATCTACATTTCTTTTCCTTTTTTTTTTTCTTTTGAGATGGAGTCACCCAGGTTGGAGTGTAGTGGCACTATCTCGGCTCACTCCAATCTCCACCTCTCTCGGGTTCAAGCGATTCTCCTGCCTTAGCCTCCCAAGTAGCTGGGATTACAGGCGTATGCCACCACGCCTGGCTAATTTTTGTATTTTTAGTAGAGACGGGGTTTCACTATGTTGGTAAGGCTGGTCTCGAACTCCTAATCTCAAGTGATCCACCCACTTCCGCAACTCAAAGTGCTGGGATTACAGGCCTGAGCTACTGTGCCCGGTCCCATCTACATTTCTTTACCCTTTGCTTCTTTTTAGAAGATTTCTTCAACTTTAAATTTTTTATTTAATAATGTGTTCTTTTACCATGGAGAAAATATCGTCTCTTATGTTTATGAAAATATTAATTGCAGTGGATTTTATTATTTGGCTCTTTGCATTCTCTAAATTTCCTCTTCTTCTTCTTCTTCTTTTTTTTTTTTTTTTTTTTTTGACAGGGTCTCTCTGTTGTGGTCCAGGGCAATGGCTTAATCACAGCTCAATGAAGCCTCGACCTCCCGGACTCAAGTGATCCTCCCATCTCAGCCTCCTGAGCAGCTGAGACTACAGGTGCACGCCACCGCGCCCGGCTAATTTTTGTACTTTTTGTAGACACAGAATCTCGCCATTTTGCTCAGGCTGTTCTTGAACTCTTGGGCTCAAGCGATCCGCCCAGCTTGGCTTGCGAAGGCACTGAGATTACAGGCGTGAGCCACCGCGCCTGGCTTTATATTCCTTAATTCTTGTGTTTTCAATACCTGTCTTTCATGTCAGTGGTTTTCATCCCATAATGACTAGTTTCTTATCAATGTATTGCCTCTCAACCGTAAATCCATCCTCTTAACTGATCTGTATTGAATTAAGCGGTTCTCCTTCGCAGCCAGCACAATATTAAGCTTTCTCAGTAGAGGGCGCCGGAGGGACACTGCCAGAGGAAAGAATTTCTTTTATCTCTGGTTCCGGGAGCTATGGTTTGTGATTCTTGTTGCTCCTGCGGCAGGGCCCATCAGTGGCCAGGTGGGAACATCTGGTGGTCTCTGTCCTAGCTGCGTGCTGACAGCATGCGTTCCCCCAGCGAGCTGGCCCTGACGTGGACCCTGCATGCCCCAGGCCTTGCATGCAGTGAGTGGGCTCCCGATGCCGCGACCCCCCCAGTTTCCTGCTTGCTCATGACTGTTCACAGGCTTTGGCCTGGGCATCCCAGGGAAATAATCTGGTACCTGGTGGGCACATGCACACTTTCTGCCTTGAGTTCTGAATCCAGCTTTGGGGTGGGGATGCTTCCACGTGTGTCCTTCTTTGGGTACTCTCCCGCGGCCCTACAGCATTCTTTGGAGTTCTCTGCACGTCTTTTTAGCCTGTTACAGCCAATAATTCTTTCTAATAATAAACTTTCTCTGCTCAAATTGGGGCTTGGGCTTTGTGAATGATACAGTAATCCTTGGCTTAGTTAGATCTTAAGCTGTTTGGAAACTCCAGGTGTGTGTGTTGGGGATGGGGGGAGGTTTCAGTGGGCTTCACCATAGTGCAAATGGGCTGAACTGTTTCTCCAGAAGACCCTTGTATTAGGGTCTAGTCAGGTGAAAGAAAAAAATCCAAATATTTAAACAGAGGTAATTTTGTTTTATTTTATTCTATTTGAAAAGGAATTTCACTCTGTTGCCCAGGCTGGAGTGCAGTGGCACAATCTCGGCTCACTGCAACCTCGGTCTCCCGGGTTCAAATGATTCTCCTGCCTCAGCCTCCCAAGTAGTGGGATTACAGGCACCTGCCACCACACCCAGCTAAGTTTTGTATTTTTAGTAGAGACAGGGTTTCACCATATTGGCCAGGCTGGTCTCAAACTCCTGACCTCAGGTGATCCACCTGCCTCGGCCTCCCAAAGTGCTGGGATTGCAAGCGTGAGCCTCCGCGCCCAGACAGAGGTAATTTTATATAAAGGATTGTTAACCACATATTGAGATCTAAAAAGACAAAAAGAGCACTGAGATACCGCAGAGGTAGAACGCGTGGGAATCAGGAATGGGGCAACTGCCTCTCCCTCAGTCTTGGGGAACTGAGGGAAGAGGTCAGTATTATTCAATGGGAGAATCTGGGAGGATGGCCCCACGGAGCTAGAATTCAGTTTCCTAAGGAGGAGCCTGGCCAGTGAGCCGGTATCACTGAGGCCACGGGAAGAGGCCTTTGCCGGGAGTGAGGAAGAACCACAGTTTGGGACTTGCTACTGCTGCTGGACCAGCTGTTGCTACAGGGCTGAAGATCCTCGGCTGTGGTGATGCCGGCAGGATTGGGAGGCCAACAAGGGAAGGGATCCCTTCTTCCTCCAGTGCTGACACCTCCCTCTACACCTAAGAGGGAGCCAGCTGGGAAGGAGAGAGTGGAAGAGGGTTTTGAAGTCAAGTGACAGTAGCTTAATATCCGTCAGAACCCCCTTACTCCTGTGTTCCTAGGTGTTTTTCCTTGTCTGGTCAGTTTCTCCAGAGAAGGTTTCTCTATTAATCGGCCTGGGGCAAGTCTGGCTGCTGGAGTTCTCAGAACCAACTTCATGGAGGGGACCAGGAAGCCTTACTGTTCGATAGGCAGGCTTTTACATAATCCTAAATGACTTTTTCTTTTCTTTTATTGCTTCTCTTATTTTATTTCTTTTATTATTACTTATTTTCTATTTTTTAAATTATTTTATTTTGTTTTCTTCTGGCCACATAAAGCCAGAAGGCCATAGGCTATATATATATATATGTAATTTTTTTTTTTTTGGTAGAGCTGGGGATCTTGCTCTGTTGCCTAGGCTGGTCTTGAATTCCTGGACTCAAGTGATCCTCCTGCCTTGGCCTCCCAAAGTGCTAGGATTATAAGCATGAGCTATCACGCCCAGCCTTAAATGATTTTCATTGTGGTTCCCAGGATGTGGCATGGTTCAACGCCTCCAGCGAGCAAACCACTCATTAGGGTGGAATATAGGGGGTCACTCTGCCATGTGCGTTGAGTTAGGAGATCTAGGGTTCTAGTGGCTTCTTACATAGACCATCAGCCTCTGGTTCCAGGCCTCTTGCACACTCACGTTTGGGATACTTGGTTTCTCCATTCCTTACTGGGGTTCTGCTATGTGAAATCAGCCTGCTTCTGGGATTCTCCCACTGACATTTTACCTTTAAATTTCTCTTATCTGCTAAGACCTTTGTCTATTTGTTATCCAGATCATTATTCTCTATTTATTTAGATTGTGTAGTCAGTTTCTCTCTCTCTCTCTCTCTCTCTCCTCTCCCCCCGCCTTTTGTTCTTGTCAGTCCTTGCCTTTTAAAACCCCTTTATCACATTTTGGTGGGATTTCTGCTGGGAGCAGAGATGGTTGTGTTCAATCAGCTACATAAAGCCTGAAGGCCCGGCCAGGCACAGTGGCTCAGGCCTGTAATCCCAGCACTTTGGGAGGCCAAGGTGGGCGGATCATCTGAGGTTAGGAGTTCAAGACCAGCCTAACCAACATGGAGAAACCCCGTCTATACTAAAAAAAAAAAAACAAAAAACTTAGCCAGCCGTAGTGGTGCATGCCTGTAATCCCAGCTACTCAGGAAGGCTGAGGCAGGAGAATCACTTGAACCCAGGAGGCGGAGGTTGTGGTGAGCCAAGATCCTGCCACTGTACTCCAGCCTGGGAACCAAGAGCGAAACTCAGACTCAAAAAAAAAAAAAAAAAGCCCGAAGTCCCAGTTGAATTTGTGGTGTAGATGTGGTGGGTGGGCTCTGGGTACCCAGCGCAGCTTAGCTGGCAGTATGTAGAAGTGAATACCAGGAAGTCTTTCTTTTCATTTCCCTCTGTTTTCTCTGGCTTGCCTCTGCCCAGGTGGCACTGGGGCCTCTGCTTCAGTGTATGCCTCAATGTATTTCCAACAAGATCCTTTCTTACGGAGACGGAGATGAGACAGCCCAGAAATCTGACTGATATGCCATGCTGTGGAGAGATCTTCCGGGAACAAGAGGGAGTTTGCAGTTCTCATTCTATTTTTGCTGGCCTCTAATGATCAGAAGCAAAGCAGAGCCAAAACAAATAGGCTAATTTACATTCCCTGCTATTAATGCTCATAAAATGCTGCATTTTTATATTGCTGCTCAAAGCACAGACTGCAGAAAGAGTATTGAGGTGGTTCTGACAGCAATCTTAAGAACTGCAGAGAGACTCTCTTGCTCAATAATTTTCTCCTTCTTTTAAAAATAAGGCTGGACATGGTGGCTCACATCTGTAATACCAGCACTTTGGGACACCGAGGTGGGAGGATAACTTGAGTCCAGGAGTTCAAGACCAGCCTGAGCAACATAGTAAGACCCCCATCTCTACAAAAAATACAAAAATTAGCCAAGTGTGGTGGCTCACACCTGTAGTCCCAGCTGCTTGGGAGGCTAAGGTAGGAGGATCACCTCAGCCCAGGGAAGTTGAGGTTGCGATAAGCCATGATTGCACCACTGCACTCTAGTCTGGACAACAGAATGAGACCCTGTCTCAAAAAAATAAATAAATAAAAATAAATAAATTAAATAACATTGGCTGGACATGGTGGCTCACGCCTGTAATCCCAGCACTTTGGGAGGCCGAGGCAGGAGGGCTTGAGTCCAGGAGTTTGCAACCAGCCTGGACAACGTAGTGAGATCTCCATCTCTACAAAAAGCGAACAAAATTAGCCAGGCATGGTGGCGTGTTCTTGTAGCCCCAGCTACTCAGGGAGCTGAGGTGGGAGGATTGCCTGAGCCTGGGAGGCTGAGGCTGCAATGAGCCGAGATCGCACCACTGCCCTCCACCCTGGGCAACAGAGCGAGATCCTGTCTCAAAAAGGAAAAAAAAATTATCAGGTTTGAAATAAAATATACATAATATAAGAAAACAAAAGTAATTTCTAACCCCAATAAATAAAGATAGAAGACATTGTTAACATTTTGGTATATTTTCTTCTTCTGTTTTTTTTTTGTTGTTGTTTTTGTCTTATTTTATTTAGAGATGGTCTCCCTCTGTTGCCCAGGCTGGGGTGCAGTGGTACAATCAGCTGACTGTGACCTTGAACTCCTGGGCTCAACTGATCCTCTGACTCAGCCCCCCAAGTAGCCAGGACTACAGGCATGTGCCATCACATCTAGCTTTTTTTCTTTTTCTGAAATAAGAATGGGTTATATTTTGCTGTAACAACATGGGGTTAGGGACCAGGCCTGCGTAGTTGTAGTCATGCTTTATGATATGGCTGGTGACTCAGTTAACTGCTGGTTCATGAGCTGGAGCAATCCCAAAATGGTTTTCTAAAGGATGCCTGGCCCTGGTGTTTCCACACTGGCTCCTGTGGAGCATCTCTAAGCAGAGGCTGCATGGTGTTCTGTCCAGGTGGGAGCACAGGCTGAGTGACTCAGTTTTCATGAGGCGATGTATACCTGTTGCCCGCCCAAATGAGTTCTTAACAAATGGTAATGAGACTGGCCACCGTGGCTCACGACTGTAATCCCAGCACTTTGGGAGGCTGAGGCTGGCGGATCACTTGAGGTCAGGAGTTGGAGATCAACCTGGCCGACATGGTGAATCCCCGTCTCTACTAAAAATACAAAAAATTAGCTGGGCGTGGCGGGTGACTGGAGTCCCAGATGCTTGAGAGTCTGAGGCAGGAGAATCACTTGAACCCGGGAGCCGGAGGTTGCAGTGAGCCGAGATGGCGCCACTGCACTCCAGCCTGGACAACAGAGTGAGACTCCACCTCAAAAAAAAAAAAAAGAAATAAACAAAGCAGATATACAGTAGTCCCTTGGTATATGAGGGGGATTGGTTCCAAGACTCCTGTGTATACCAAAACCTACACATATTCAAGTCCCACAGTCAGCCCTTTGGGTCCCAAATATATGTAAAGTTGGGCCTTTGTATACATGGGTTTCACATGTCACCATTACTGTGTTTGTGATCTGCATTTGATTGAAAATAACCCATGCATAAGTGGACCTAAGTGGACCTATGCAGTTCAAATCCATGTTGCTCAAGGGTCAACTATATGGACATTAAATTAAGCAAGACATAAACTGGGATGTTAAAGCATGAGCAATAAATTAAAACTCAAAGAAATGACAGAAACCATTAGAGAAAATCAAATGAAGTATTGCTAAAAAATTTTAGGCAATTTTAACAAAACAGGAAAAACTTTATCAAGTTGATTTTTGCAAAGAAACTGGAACATGAGCTCCCTCCACTCACGTGTCTGTGCCCCTCAGAAGGGCGGTCCTGAGGAGCCAGCACATAGCCCAGGACTGACGTTAATGCCCTCAGGCAGGCTCCCACTGCCTCCTCTGCGCCTGCCTTCTCTCACTTTCTAGAATCCCAGTCCTAAAACTCTGTTTGATGTTTAGCAAAGGAAGACATATTCAGACATGCATAATAATGGTAGAAGACAGAGGTGAGGAATGCTGTGAAAGGTGTCCAAGGGGCCATGGAGAGCCCTGGGACTCTGGGGCTACCCCAAGGAGGCTGTGTTTTAAAATGTGTTTACACAGGCCTTTTCCATCATAAGTACATCTTTATTATTTTATGTATTTTGGAAAACACAGAAAAGTATTTCAAAAGCAAATCCTAAAGTAGTAAGCCTTAGATCATTGTGAAAGTTAATTTTTAAAAATATTTATTAAATTTAATGAATTAATTAATTTTTTGAGGCATGGTCTTACTCTGTCACTCGGGCTGGAGTGCAGTGGCACAATCACGGCTCACTGCAGCCTCAACTTCTCAGGCTCAAGAGATCCTCCCACCTCAGCCTCCCGAGCAGCTGGGACCACAGGCACTCGCCACCATGCCTAGCTAATTTTTTCTCGTTGTTTTTTGTAGGGACAGAGTCTCACTATATTCCCCAGGCTGGTCTTGAACTCCTGGGCTCAAGCAATCCACCCATCTAAACCTCCCAAAGTGCTGAGATTACAGGGATGAGCTGCTGTGCCCAGCCAAAGGTTAATTTCATGTGTCAGTATGCTTAAGCCATGGTACCCAAATATTTGGTCAAACATTATTCTAGATGTTTCTACTAAGGTATTTTGTAGATGAAATCAACATTTAAATGGATGGACTTTGAATAAAGCAAATTACCCTCCCGTATGTGAGTGGGTCTGACATCCCCCAAGGAAGAGGGAATTCTGCCTCCAGGTTGCCCTTAGGCCTGAACTGTGACATTAACTTTTGTCTCCAAGCCTGCCAGTTTTCCCTGCAAATTTTGGACTTGCCAATCTCCACAATCGTGTGAGCCAATTCCTTAAAATCTCTCTCTCACCTATATGAGCTCCTTTGAGTGTGTCTTCTCATCTATATGAGAGAGAGAGAGAGACAGAGAGAGAGAGGTTTTAGTTCTGTTTCTCTGGAGAACCCTAATACAGTTATGGTTTCATTTTAAAACATTTTTTTCTAGTCTTTTCTTTATACCTAGGTGGTTGTTGTTGTTTAGGTTTTTGTTTTTGTTCTTTTTGAGGGGTTGTATTTTATTGTCACCAATTGCATATATAATTGTGTGTTCCTTAATTCCTTATATTTATTTATTTATTTATTTTTGAGACAGTCTAGTTCTGTCACCCAGGATGGAGTAAAGTGGCGTGATCTCTGTTCACTGCAACCTCTGCCTGCCGGGTTCAAGAGATTCTCGTGCCTCAGCCTCCCAAGTAGCTGGAATTACAGGCACCCACCAACCACGCCTGGCTAATTTTTGTATTTTTAGTAGAGATGGGGTTTTGCCATGACCTCAAGTGATCCGCCAGCCTCGGCCTCCCAAAGTGCTGGGATTACAGCATGAGCCACTGTGCCTGGCCTTTAATTCTTTTTAAATAAATTATTATGACACTATTGTCTTCTTTGTTAATATAAGTTTTAATAAAAGTCACTTAAGTGGCTTCCCAATGATGCACAAAGTACATAGTCTATAATTTATAGTTTTTACTGCTAAATGTTTCTGCTGCTTCCAATATTTTGTTAAGATAGTAAACTGTAATGCACTTTTTTTGTTTATAAAGCTTTTTACACAATTGAGAATTGGATAGATTCCCAGAAATGAGATGACTGCATTGAAGTCACAGGCTAAGAGACACAAAGAGAACAGCAGCGACCCGCAGCAAGCTGGGCCAGAGGCTCCAGAGACTGCTGTCGAGGCCTGCTGGGGAGGAAGCCATGGCCAGTGGGGGGGCCACGAGTGGGCACAGAATCCACCCTCAGCTCCCACAGCTGCCCTCAGCCTCATGTTTAATCAGGCTCCACTAAAGACCTAGGGATAACAGAAGAGAATTCCAGGTACACTTAAAACTGGAAATGAGACATGGTGCTTTCAGATTTCAGAGGCCCACGCCCCTCCCTGTATGCACTTGCTACAGGAGGCTTCTCTGCCTCACCTTTAGCACGCTCTGAGTTTTGGGGGCCAGCATAACTCCCCAAGATAGGTGGCTCCCTTGAGTGTGCCTTCACTATGCAAAATACAGGCTCCCAACTCTGTTCTTGTTCTGGTTCAAAGACAGCAGGAAGTTTCCCCACTCAATCCAGCTTGCGGCCCACCTACCTACCAGTACCTGTGTTCTTTAGGATGATTTAAAGTGAGAATGAGCTACTCTCTGGAGGAGAAACATCCCAACCTATGGCCTGTGACCTCAGTGCCTTATGACCTGTGAGAGAGACTACATGTCCAGCAGAAATATACATGTATTTCTCTGTGAGAGAGACTACATGTCCACAGAAAGCGAGCTCCGTGTAATTTACAAAGTTCTAGTAGTCACATCAAAAAGGTAAAAAACAACAGGTGAAATTAATTCTAATAGTAAATTTTATTTAACACAGCATATCCAAAATATTGTGATTTTGACAAGTAATAAACATAAAAATTATTAGTGAGATATTTTACTGTTTTTGTACTAAGTCTTTGAAATCTCATGTGTGTCTTGCACTTAAGAGCACATTTGTATTTGGACTAGCCACACTTCATGTGCTCAGTTGCTACATGTGGCTAATGGCTACCATGTAGGACAGCACAGACTTACTGCACAGCTTACCTGAGGAGATCCTAGCAATAAATACTTGTCTTGCATCGCATGTGTCTCAAGAATAAGTTATTATTATTAATTAGTTTTTTTTCCTTGAGATGGAGTCTTGCTCTTGTAGCCCAGGCTGGAGTGCAGTGGCATGATCTTGGCTCACTGTAACCTCTGTCTCGTGGGTTCAAGTGATTCTCCTGCCTCAGCCTCCCGAGTGGCTGAGATTACAGGTGCACACCACCACGCCTGGCTAATTTTTGTATTTTTAATAGAGATGGGGTTTCACCACTTTGGCCAGGCTGATCTCAAACTCCTGCCCTCGGGTGATCTGCCCTCCGCCCGCCTCCTCGGCCTCCCAAAGTGCTGGGATTACAGGCGTGAGCCACTGTGCCCAGCCAAGAATACGTTATTTAGTCTTGAATTACAGATTTCATTGAACATCTACAGATCAGTCTATGACGTCCTTAACTTGCTCAGTGGAGCCAGTTTTCCCCATTCCAAGATGAAAATATGGACAGTACTAAGACTGTTCTGATCTCTCTTAGGTCCTGTAGTTATTTTATATTACCAAACACAATGCCAATTCAGAAACTCAACGTTTAGTTCCAAAGGTAAGTCTCCTTTCCTCCAGCAAGGGCTTTGCAAGGATGGGAAGATGAGAAATGGGGAAACAGGTCCTCAACATTATGCATCTATCCTTCTTCTCCTGTCTTGCTAATGGTGGTTTCTAACCCTCCAAGGTTGAGTAGAATGGGGAAGGGTTGGGGGAAGGAGTGGTCTGGGGCGTGGAGCAGGCACGGTTTGCAAGAGGGCTTTGCATTCTCTGGGACTGGTAGGGGCTTACAGGGGATTCCTCCTCCTTGGGTGCTTCTTCCGAGACCCCTCACCCCTAATGCCATACAGTTGCAAATGAGGATTTCTTTCCACGATTTATTCCTCCCACAGCTCATAGGAATGCAGTAATCACTTCAGCTTCTCTCTGCTGAGGCCTGTTGATGCCTGTAGGTGGCCACATCAGACAGGATTAGCTCGGCTCCACATCAGCTCGCTTCCTAGCATGCCTCACACTAGTCTGCTGGAAATACTTACACAGCCTTGCCCTGAAAACCTGGGATACAGGTCCCCAGTGCCTCCTCCTTTCCTACACTCCCACTCCCAGGGCAGAAAACCAGCCTGTCTCCTACCATGAGGTCTGCAGACAAATGTCAGATGCCAGCCCATTGCAGTCTGTCCACTGGGGAGGGGGAAGCTTTATGCAGGACAATAGGAAAAAAGAGTGAAACTATTCTGAATTAGATGTTTATATACATAAAATGATATTGCTTGACACCTGAAGGGAACAAGAAAAACTCTGGAGCTTTCTTGATCTAGTGACATGAAAGAAAGATGAGGTCCATGTGCTGTGGCTCATGCCTATAATCCCAGCACTTTGGGAGGCTGAGGCTGGAAGATACCTTGAGTCCAGGAGTTCAAGGCCAGCCTGGGCAACATGGTGAGACCTAATCTTTATTGAAAAAATAAAAATAAAACGTAGCAGGGCATGGTGGTGCATGCCTATGATCCCAGCTATTTGGGAAGCTGAGGTGAGAAGATTACTTGAGCCAGTGAGATTAAGGCTTCTATGAGCCATGATCATGCCACTGCATTCCAGCAAATTAAAAAAACTTAAAATTTTTTTTAGGCTTGACTTGAAACTCAGAGACCTTGAAAAAGAAAGAAAAAGAAGAAGAAAGAAAGAAAGAAAGAAAAAAAGAAAGAAAGAAAAGATGGGACCATTGGTCGCCATGGACACTGTTTCCACAGCTACTTTGCTATTTTGATTGTCATTGCGTATTGTTTGAAAGACTCTGCTATGAGAAAAATATAACTATTTCTCAATTTAACCGTGATAGACTATAAGTAGATAAAATAAGGTTGAGACAGATTAAATAAACTATTAAGGGGAAGAACTAGACTAGAACCCAGGTTTTCTGGCTTCTTATCTGGTGTCTGTTTTCACTCTGAAACTCACTTAGGGTCACGGACTCACTGACTCACAGATTCAGTGTGACAAAGATAATCAGAAACCAAGTCACTGTAACAAAAGCCCCCTAAAGACAGGACACCAGCTCACTGCTGTATCCTCAGTGTTGACGTCAGTGTGCTTGTCCAATAATCCACACTTAATAAATGTGAGTAGAATGAGTGAATTAATTAATTAATGGTTTAGTTGTTTAGTTTGTGAGGGAACAAGTATCTGAAAATGTTAAATGAATCACTGAAAGTCATTTATATATATGTGTGTGTGTATATATATACATATATATATATATATTTTTTAAATACAGAGTCTTGCTATGTTATCCGAGCTGGTCTCCAACTCCTGAGCTCAAGCAAACCACTCGCCTCGGCCTCCCAAAGTGCTGGGATTACAGGTGTGAGCCACCTCACCCTGTAATATAATATAAATGCCGAAAGTCATTTATATTTTATAGGTTGTAAGACATATATTTATTTTCCCATTTATCATCTCTTGAATAGGGATGCGTCTTACAATCAATGGCGTGTCATAGTTTAACCCGCTGTGTTTTCCTCTTAGTGCTGCATGAAATAATGGTATGTTTTCCGGCAACGGAGCTTTAGATGCAATGAGGAGCAGCAGTTGTTTGTGGACATACGTTGTGTCTCATGTCAGTGAGTGCAAGGAAAGGGGGAGGTGGGGGTGACCCCGTGGGATGCAAAACAAGTCAACTTCTCCAGGCCCTCAGAAGTGGCGCTCAATCTCCAGAGAGGCGCCCATCTCGCAGAGGGCCACTACCCGGTCATTGCCACTAGGGGGCTACCAGACATTTCATCAGGAAGACACAGGCAGTCTTTGGGCCTCTCTTCCGACCAGGCCATTTGTTGCCATGGATATTGTTTCCATAGTTGCTTTGACTGTCACTGCATTTCCCCTGATTATCTGTTTTTGCATGCTGAATATATACTATAATCCAATCTTCATCCTCATCAATTTAACAATTTTATCATATCTAGATTTTTCAAATGGCCAGTTTTCATCAATTGTGACGTTCATGGCATTTGACTTTGTTAGTGAGTTCTGCTTTTGCAGCCCCTGTGTTCCAGTATACAATACTGCATTATACCTCAGCTCACTTCACAAATTGGGTATCCACTGCAAGCAACTAAGCACAAGTAGTGAATACTAATCCAAATGAAAGAATGGGTCTGTTGTGGTGTTAGCGCAAGAGAAAATTCCTCTGCTCCATGGTGCATTAGTAGTAGCTCATTTTGCTTGCTGCCCCATTTGATTACATTGTTGGTGGTAAATATCACTGCTGAAAGTTCCATGAATTTCTTAAAGGTCTCCAAAGAAGATGTGGAACATTGAAGCATTTCACAACGTTTGCATGTACATGACAGCAATATTCATTCGCTTCTGCCAGGCACCTTGAAGGCAAAAGCTATTTACATGGCTCTCCACTGTGTTCTCATAGCCATGCACAGGCTTATATGTCCTCTGCAAAGATGTGATAGATGATCAAAGGAAACATCCAGTCTCCTCCCTCTCCCTCTCCCTCCCCCTCCCCCTCCCTCTCCTCCCCCTCCCCCTCTCCCTCTCCTCCCTCTCCCTCTCCTCCCTCTCCCTCTCCTCCCTCTCCTCCCTCTCCCTCCCCTCCCTCTCCCTCTCCTCCCTCTCCCTCTCCCTCTCCCCACGGTCTCCCTCTCCCCCTCCCTCTCCCTCTCCCCACGGTCTCCCTCTCCCCCTCCCTCTCCCTCTCCCTCTCCCCGCGGTCTCCCTCTCCCCCTCCCTCTCCCCACGGTCTCCCTCTCCCTTTCCCCACTGTCTCCCTCTCCCTCTCCCTCTCCCTCTCTCTCCACGGTCTCCCTCTGATGCCGAGCCGAAGCTGGACTGTACTGCCACCATCTCAGCTCACTGCAACCTCCCTGCCTGATTCTCCTGTCTCAGCCTGCCCAGTGCCTAGGATTGCAGGCGCGCGCCGCCACGCCTGATTGGTTTTCGTATTTTTTTGGTGGAGACGGGGTTTCGCTGTGTTGGCCGGGCTGGTCTCCAGCTCCTAACCGCGAGTGATCTGCCAGCCTCGGCCTCCCGAGGTGCTGGGATTGCAGACGGAGTCTCAATCACTCAGTGCTCAATGTTGCCCAGGCTGGAGTGCAGTGGCGTGATCTCGGCTGGCTACAACCTCCACCTTCCAGCTGCCTGCCTTGGCCTCCCAAAGTGCCGAGATTGCAGCCTCTGCCCGGCTGCCACCCCGTCTGGGAAGTGAGGAGCGTCTCTGCCTGGCCGCCCATTGTCTGGGATGTGAGGAGCCCCTCTGCCTGGCCGCCCAGTCTGGGAAGTGAGGAGCGCCTCTTCCCGGCCGCCATCCCATCTAGGAAGTGAGGAGCATCTCTGCCGGGCCGCCCATCGTCTGAGATGTGGGGAGCGCCTCTGCCCCGCCGCCCCGTCTGGGATGTGAGGAGCGCCTCTGCCCAGCCGCGACCCCGTCTGGGAGGTGAGGAGCGTCTCTGCCCGGCCGCCCCGTCTGAGAAGTGAAGAGCCCCTCCGCCCGGCAGCCGCCCCGTCTGGGAAGTGAGGAGCATCTCCGCCCGGCAGCCGCCCCGTCAGGGAGGGAGGTGGGGGGGCAGCCCCCGCCCGGCCAGCCGCCCTGTCCGGGAGGTGAGGGGCACCTCCGCCCGGCAGCCCCGACTGGGAAGTGAGGAGCCCCTCTGCCCGGCAGCCACCCCGTCTGGGAGGTGAACCCAACAGCTCATTGAGAACCGGCCATGATGACGATGGCGGTTTTGTCGAATAGAAAGGGGGAAATGTGGGGAAAAGATAGAGAAATCAGATTGTTGCTGTGTCTGTGTAGAGGGAAGTAGACAGGGGAGACTCCATTTTGTTCTGTACTAAGAAAAATTCTTCTGCCTTGGGATGCTGTTAATCTATAACCTTACCCCCAACCCCGTGCTCTCTGAAACATGTGCTGTGTCCACTCAGGGTTAAATGGATTAAGGGCGGTGCACCATGTGCTTTGTTAAACAGATGCTTGAAGGCAGCATGCTCGTTAAGAGTCATCACCACTCCCTAATCTCAAGTACCCAGGGACACAAACACTGCGGAAGGCCGCGGGGTCCTCTGCCTAGGAAAACCAGAGACCCTTGTTCACTTGTTTATCTGCTGACCTTCCCTCCACTATTGTCCTATGACCCTGCCAAATCCCCCTCTCCGAGAAACACCCAAGAATGATCAATAAATACTAAAAAAAAAAAAAAAGAAAAAGAAAAAGGAAACATCCATGCCACCTCCTTTCATGGGTAGAAGGTAGAAGCTGAAAAAGTCTTCTGGGTATGGAAACTCACGAATACCTCGAGGCCAACTTGGTTCAGGGTTGCTGCCTAAAAAACTCTGGGTGAGGTCCTGAGTTGAAAACAAAACATCTCTGCTTGTGTTCAATTTTCAAATTCTTTTGAGGGTGAGGCCTGAGAAGTCGCAAACATCTTAAAAAGCAGAACTCACTAGTAAAGGCAAATAAATGCCATAAATGTCACAATTGATGACACGTTCCCTACCATCCATCACACACACAAGAATGTTTTTTCTGTGTATCCACGACTTGTTTTCAGACTGGGGGCTCCTCAAGAATAGGGACTGTGTCTGGTTTTTCTTGCTTGGCTCAAAACCCAATACAGATTGGAGGAAAGATCCGAGAGCCTGCCATTGCAAGCCTAAAGAAGAGAAGACTGAAGGATAAAAGTGTTCATACCTGTGAGTGATTTTTGTAGAGACAGTGCAGAACAGTTCATCACTTGAGATTCAGTCCAAATGAGATAAAAAGTGAGTAATCCTGGAGCCAGGAAACCTGAGTTTAACTCCCTCACCCCCCACCCCTCCCTGCCACTTACCGTTAAGGAGGTTTGGGGACAATTTATTTAACTTCTCTGAACTTCAGTCTTTGCATTTCTAAGACAGGATGGTTCTCCTACCTCACAGAGGTGATGTGAAGATCAAAAGAATCCACATATGTGACAGCAGCTCAAAGTGCCCCACAAATATGTCACAAGTCTCCGGTCAGTTACCCTATCCCTTGGGAAGCTTTCCAGGATCTGCACAGGCTGAATGAGATCCCTTCTCTGGACTCTGCCCGAAAGCATTCCTTTATTGTAGCACTTAGCATGTTGCACTGTAATTGCTGGTTTTCTTGTCCTTGAGGGTAAGAACTATGTCATTCACTTCTGTTGGTTGGCTGCCTCTGTTCCCAAAAGAATTCCCAGCACCATACTAGACAGTTACTAAAGGAATCCTAGGCCAGGTGCAGTGGCTCATACCTGTAATCCCAGCACTCTGGGAGGCCAAGGT
The DNA here is from genome assembly GCF_000001405.40 of Homo sapiens. Classification (NCBI taxonomy): domain Eukaryota; kingdom Metazoa; phylum Chordata; class Mammalia; order Primates; family Hominidae; genus Homo; species Homo sapiens. Next base: position 2,376,026 of record NT_167246.2, on the reverse strand, counting down.
GGGTGGATCACAAGGTCAGGAGTTCGAGATCAGCCTGGCCATCATAGTGAAACCCTGTCTCTACTAAAAATACAAAAATTAGCCGGGTGTGGTGGCACGCGCCTATAGTCCCAGCTACTCAGGAGGCTGAGGCAGGAGAATTGCTTGAGCCTGGGAGGCGGAGGTTGCAGTGAGCTGAGACCACACCATTGCAATCCAGCCTGGGTGACAGAGTGAGACTCTGTCTCAAAAAAAAAAAAAAAGGAATCCTAATTTCCTTGTGTTTACAAATAAGACCAAAACAGAAGAAATAGCACCAAAAGAAAGCATACATTTATTCGTTTATTCCAAAATGTGTATTTCATCCCATCTAAGATGACGTTGAATGCAAGATGCAGCATTACTTATGCCCCACTAAGGAAGAAAGAGTGCTACTGACTGGTTCATGATGTGCTATCAAGTGTAAGACACTTTTCCATTTTTAAACGTTTCTTGGTTTTTTTTTTTAGGCAGTGTCTTGCGATGTTGCCCAGGCAGGTCTCTAACTCCTAGCTCTGGGCAATCCTCCCACCTTGTCCTCCAAAAGTCCTGGGATTACAGGCCTGAACCACTGCAGCCAGTGGACATCTCCATTTTATTTTTATTATTATTTTTTTAAGACAGCATCTCACTCTGTCACCCAGGCTGGAGTGCAGTGGTGCAATCTCGGCTCACTGCAACCTCCACCTCCCAGGTTCAAGTGATTCTCTTGCCTCAGCCTCCTGAGTAGCTGGGACTACAGGTGTGTGCCACCAGCGCCCAGCTAATTTTTGTATTTTTAGTAGAGACGGGGTTTCACTATGTTGGCCAGGCTGGTCTCCAACTCCTGACGTCAAGTGATCCACCTGCCTCAGCCTCCCAAAGTGCTGGGGTTACAGGTGTGAGCCACTACGCCCATCCGACATCTCAATTTTAGATTACGATCCAATGGGGAAGATGTGCATCAGAGGCTCAATGAAGCATATGATTATTAAATATCTAATCTATCTCATATATTGTCCTCAAAACCCCTATTCTCAAGGAACTGACATTCTAGTGGAAGGAGACAGACATAAAACAAATAAGTTAACACGTAAATAAGCATAAGTTCAGATTGTCGTCAGCTCCATAAAGAAAATAAATATGGTAATCTGTAGAGACTGAAGAGAGGGGTTTGTTTTAGATGAATCACAAGAAAGGTCCTGAATAGATCTGAAAAATAACTACGTGTTTTCTAAGGTGTCAAACAATACCTCGCTAAGGGAGAGTGTTGAATCACTGTTGCTTCACCAAACATTCTTGTTTAGAAAGACAGGGGACTGGACCAGAGTGTGCATTCGCAGACGTTTTAATGAGAGGTGACACTCCCCAAAAGGCATAAATCCTGTTCAGGCACAATCTAGAGGGGTGTGCTTACTTGCCTGGTGTCCTCAATCTGGACTTGTGCAAGTTGGGTTCAGCTGGACCTGGTATGACTCCTTGATGACACCTGAAGAGGTCCTTTAAACACTGGACTTCATAAAGAGAAAAGGAGGATTAGCTGTATGATTAACTGTATGCATTTACCAAAGGCATGGAATGCACAGATATGTGCGACAACTTATAAGTGTCATCTGAGTATGAGTATATTATGGTTTGAGAGTCAACTACCAAATCTTGTAGTTCAGGTCCCAGGAGTGGTTAGAAAGGTATTTCCCTTATTCATTGAGGCTTCATTTTTTTTTTCTTCCCTTATGGGTGTTCTGCAGCATCTTCTCCTTGTCTTTTCTACCTTCAATACTCTCCAGAGACCAGATCTTCATGTATATCTCTCTGGGCTCTCAAATGCCAAAACCATACTCTCCTTCACGGTAGCACCCTGAGGGGGTGGACTTATTCTGGAGAAAGCTACGTGGCAAGTTGAAGGAGACTGACTGGGTAAAGCCCCTGTGCCTCTGGCAGAACTGCTGCCACAAAGGGATATGCGTATCCTGGGAATAATTAGTACAGGCCAGTTGCTACTGACTTTAAGGATGTTCCTTATGCTTCAATCCTATGTACAACTCTGGGATCTTTGGAGAGCAGCAAAAAGACTGAGATTGAATTTCCCTCTAATCTGACAGGAGCAGAAATTAACATTTTCTTTCTTTTATTTTTCTCTTCGAGACAAGGTCTCTCTCTGTTGCCCAAGATGGAGGGCAGTGACATGATCACAGCTCACTGCTGCCTCGACCTCCTGGGCTCAAGCAATCCTCTCACCTCAGCCTCCCAAGTAGCTGGGACTACAGGCATACACTACCATACCCAGCTAATTTTTAATTTTTTTGTAGAGACGAGGTCTCACTATGTTGCCCAGGCTGGTCTTGAACTCCAGGCCTCAAGCAATCCTCCTGCCTCAGCCTCCCAAAGTGTTGGGATTACAAGCGTGAGCCACTGTGCCCAGCCTTTTTCTTTCTTTCTTTCTTTTTTTCTTTTTTTTTTGAGACAGGATCTTGCTCTGTCGCCCGGGCTGGAGTACAGTGGCACAGTCATGGCTCACTGCAGCCTCCACCTCCTGGGCTCAAGCGAGCCTCTTGCCTTAGCCTCCCAAGTATCTGAGCCTACAGGCATGTGCCACCACACTCGGCTAATTTTTTTTTTATTTTTAGTAGAGACAAGGTCTCACCATGTTGCCCAGGCTGGTGTAGATCTTCTGAGCTCAAGTGATCTTCCTACCTCGGTCTGCCAAAGTGCTGCGATTACAGGTGTGTCATCCTGCCTGGCCAGAAATTAACTTGATTGAAAGAAAAGAAAAGCTTTTGATATGCTAGCGTTTTTGCATGCATGCTTTTGCATGCTAAAGTTTCTATGCCATTTACAGAGATTTCATGGTCTCTTCAATTGCTCTAAGTTGTCCTTGAGGTGCAGAAACTCAAGCACACAGACTTCTCAGCTAGAATTTGTAGCTCTAGCAATTCCTTTGTTTATTGCACAAACCTAGCTTGTACCGAGACCAAAAGTTCTGCCCCCTTGAAGACCAAGGCAGATTCTGGAATTCCTTGTGCTTGCCAATACCCTTTGACAAATGCCCAGCCCCAAACCCCAGCCTGAACTTCAGGAGGAAGATTTTATAGAAACACATTGGACTTTTCCTGCCTGTATATTAACCAAGAGACTCTTCTGTCACTCTTTTTTCCTGCAATAAACTGATATTCATGCAAGTATCTCTAATCACAAAATTCTCCCTTGGCCACTTGCTGCCTCCATGGGGGCAGAAGAGGGAGATCATTTTATTATTCTCCCATTCCCCACTATGTGTAGCTCCCACATTCTTAAAATCCTGAGCACTGTGTCTTCCCAAATGTGTCATGGAGATATTCGCAGAAGTCTGCATGTTCTAGATGATGTTTATGTGTCATATCATTTAGGATCCCATTTAGCTGGAATCACAAGAAGCTCACCTCACTGAGCTCCGGCACACTGCTCATCTCATATACGAAATGTCCGAGAGGAGCAGCCCAGGGCTCAGTATTGCCATCGGGCACCCAAGTGATTTCTTCCCTCTGCTCCACTCTCAGCTTGAAGCCTTCACCCTGCTGTGGGTCTCCCCCTGACCTCAGCATTGCTGAGCCCCAGGTCTCATATCTGCATTCCAGGTAGGAAGAGGAACGAAGGGGAAGGGGCAAAGGGCTTTCTCCTCATGAGCTTTGGCCTTTTCATCTGGAAGGGACACCATCCCCAGGAACTTATGCCTTTATCACATTGGCCAGAGCTGTATCTCCTCACTGCACTGGCTGCAAGGGGGACCGGGAAATTGGGGATTTGGGAAATGGTTTTCTTCAGCTGGGCACATTACCATCACCCCCAAAACTCAGGTTCTCCAAGTGTAAGGGAAGGGGAGACTAGAGCTGTTTCTGTCACGTTTTCCTTCAGGTAATAATCTTGAAAATCCCCATAATATAAGCATTTCCTGGATTCTATTGATGACCAATATAAAACCAACATAAAGCTAATAGAAATGATTAGTCTTTACAATTGCACAGCCTAACAAGAGTAGAACGAGAACTGTCTTAAAATTTAAACGGTGCATTTGCATTAAGGGCCCAATAATCCCGCAGCTGACTGAGAGACTGAAGGTCTTGAGAGAGCTTGTACAGAGACGATCCATGAAAGAAGGAAAACATCAAGTGGCAAATGAGATTTGAGAAACTAGGCTGTAGCAATCACTACAATATTAATGTTGGAGCGAAGAATTCTTCAGTAAAGAAATATCATGCATTACATTAAACTACTGCTGTTACTTCTAACGTTATTGGAACAGTAGAGCTATAAGCATAAGGAGTTTATACTTCATTTTCTGTTTCATATATATTTACGTTTAAGCCAACATGGCGAGTTCTCAAAAAATCTCTTTTCCAGCCAGGCACGGTGGCCCACACTGTAATCCCAGCACTTTGGGAGGCCAAGGCGGGTGGATCACCTGAGGTCAGGAGTTCAAGACCAGCCTGGGCAACATGGTGAAACTCCATCTCTACTAAAAATACAAAAATTAGCCAGGCATGGTGGTGCACGCCTGTAATCCCAGCTACTCGGAGGCTGAGGAAGGAGAATCGCTTGAACCCAGGAAGTGGAGGTTGCAGTGAGCCAAGATCGCACCACTGGACTCCAACCTGGGCAACAGAATGAGACTCTGTCTCAAAAATATATATGTATCTTTTCCTTTAAAGGTGTTTATCACATAAGTCTGAGAAATATTGGTTTAATATTTATTTAATCAATCCAATTTTTTCACTTTAGTATTTTAATTTATTATTCCGTGTTTCCGACTCTGTATCATAATACTACAATTCCATTATTTAACACTGGTGGTGATGCTGCTCATAGTGGCATCAGTAGTGAGCAAACAATAATCAACTGTCTTCACATATCTTTGATTCTTTGGTTTTTGTCCTGAGCTCCTCACAGAGCTGTTATATCCAATGCCCCGGCCTTGTCTGTGGTCTTAGCCATCATTCATAGGTGCATGAATATGGTGCATTTGCATTAAGTAAGGACAAATCTCTTCTTCTATCAGGCAGGGCTTTTCTCTTAGAGGTTAGGTCTGGACTTCGTGTCCTCATTTCACACCGCGATTGACTAAGATGAGACTCATTTATTTGCTACGGTGGCCAGTCCCACACAGGTGCTCATACATACTTGCTGAATGACCAGTTGACTACATCCTGTAAATGTGACCCTTTGGCCTGGGTGGTAGGAGAACGCGGGCATAGTCCTCTTAAGAGATAAGTTGTATCCTTCAGCTTACAGGTAGACTGAGATAGACAGACTGGGAGACGTAGAGTGTTGAGCTCATGCTAGGCACTGAATAAATATTTTGTTAAGGCCAGGTGCGGTGGCTCATGCCTGTAATCCTAGCACTTTGGGAGGCCAAGGCGGGTGGATCACCTGAGGTCAAGAGTTCGGGACCAGCCTGGCCAACATGGTGAAACCCTTGTCTCTACTATAAATACAAAAATTAGCCAGGCGTGGTGGCATGCGCCTGTAATCCCAGCTACTAGGGAGGCTGAGGCAGGAGAATCACTTGAACCTGGGGGGCAGAGGTTGCAGTGAGCTGAGATCGCGCCACTTCACTCCAGCCGGGGCAAAAGAGCAAAACTTCGTCTCAAAAAAAACATTTTTTTTTTTTTTGGTTAAATGAATGAATGTAGAGATATGTCCCAGACAAAAACAGATAAAATTTGCTTTATTGATTTGATCAGACTTACCGAATATCTCTTATACCTGAGCTGTGTGTAATTCCTCAAAACCTGGTAGATAGGTAAAGGCGATTGTCCAGAGGAAGTAACCAAGGTCAGGCAGAATTAGGAGACACTCAGAGCAGATGGGCATCCTTCTGAGTGTCCTCCACATGCTTATTCCAGGGGCCAGCTGCCTTCCTCATGTGGTGGTCCCAGGGCTCCAGACTAGGGCGGAGGAGTGGAGGCCTGAGGATACACATCATGCTGCATAGTCTTGCAGAGGCGGATGAGGGGTCTCCTTTTTCTAGAACCAACTGTAGTCACTGCTGGGGTCCTCTTTATGGTGTACTGTAGTCCATGACATGGGGATGATAAATAACCCTGGTGGATGGATTTAATGGAGGCAGGAAACACTCTTTCTAGGGAGGAAGAAAATGGTTTGGTTTTAACACTCTGTTCTTCTCTTAACCCTGGTGGTTTGTAATTTATCACTTCTGCCCAGCCTGTTTCCCTGGCTCTGGGAGTCTGCTAGATGTCACTGTTTTCTTCAGATCCTGACACTGACTACTAGAGATCAATACTTGCCAAAAATGTGGACGACATTTAGGGGGAAAAAAAAGCCTTTTGTTTTTTTTTTTTTTAGATGGAGTCTCGCTCTGTTGCCCACGCTGGAGTGCAATGGCACGATCTCAGCTCACTGCAACCTCTGCCTCCCGGGTTCAAGCAATTCTCTGCCTCAGTCTCTCAAGTAGCTGGGATTACAGGTGCCCACCACTATGGCTGGCTAACTTTTTTGTAGTTTTAGTAGAGATGGGGTTTCACCATATTGGCCAGGCTGGCCTTAAAGTCCTGACCTCGTGATCCACCCACCTCGGCCTCCCAAAGTGCTGGGATTACAGGCGTGAGCCACCGCACCCTGCCAAAAAAAACTTAAACCTTTTTTGTTTTTTTTAAAACAACTTAAAAAAAACTTAAACCATTAAAGTTTAAAGAAAAAAGCATTTTGACAAATGAAACTTGGGAGGAATGGTAATATAGTTCTTATTTTTAAAACTTTTCGAGTTAAAGGTTTAAAAGTCAAAAATTTAGCAAGTTTGGGAGCATAGACTTTCCTCTTACTTCCCACACCCTGAGCCTTTTGAGCCATCTCTTGTTTTTAGTCTCTACATGAAATTAAGAAGGTGCTAATGCTAGTGACCTCTCTGGGCCAATGCCTGGTTTGGAGGAAGGAAAGCATCTTTTGTTCTAGAGCAAGAGTGTCCAACTTTTCATGGTGATCCACATGATCAGAAATCCAATTGTTTATGGTAACAGCGAAGTCCAGAAGGTCCTCCCTCTACTGGTGAATACTGAACATGACTCATGCATGAGTCAGGTACATATGGACGCTTTCATTCCATTTTCCTCTTGTCAGCATCCTTCAGAATGCTCTAGTTTCATGGTGTCATTTTAGCAGAATTAAATGTGAACACCTCATCTGTATCATGCATTACTTTCGGCTTTACTCACACTTACAAACTGATCCAAAGCTGTGGATTTGCATCTTGGAGCAGGGGTCAGTGCACAATGGCATCAATGACCGCAAGAATTAACGAGGCTTTAATGACCTGCCCGAGTTGGCTAATCCTGCAAGCCGCCACTTGTTAAAATTTCGACATGCACTTAATCCGTAGGTCAGGATGGCCAAAAAGGACCAGCCCTTCCCCCTCAAGCAGCAGGCCAGAAGCAGGAGGCTTGGGTTTTAGATCAAATGTTAGCGAGAGGAAGCCACAATGTGGGGTCCCCCAGATCACCTCCTTTTCTTTCTGATCAGACTGACCAAAAATCACAGATTGCCTTGACCGTTCTGTGACCCAGCCAGCTGCAGGTTTTCCCCAGCAGGCTTGAACGCAAACCAGGGCCTTGAACACTCCCAGGCACTAATAAAGGTATCTAGGTTGTTGCCCAAAACGTTGAAAGAAACTGGCTCCAGCCCTGAGTCAAATTCCCTAAACCCTCATATAAACTCCATACCCTGACCCCCTTGCTACAGACATGCTTAGGCAGAACATCCCTTTTCCCTCCCTGTCGGCAGGGAGGATTGCTGCAGTCCTCTGTAAGTTCCCCTAATAAATGCTTTGAATTGATCACCCTGACATCTGGGCTTCTTTCTTTGGAATCCCAATTGGCCCCATCTCTGGAGGGTTTGGGCCACTCCCTGTGGGAATTTCCCTGCTGCTGCTTTTGGGATGATTCCAGCTGGGAGTTTGGTGAGATGAAACATGCAGGGCTGGCATGGAATTCTTTTGTCTCCTCTTGTAGAAACAACAGGGACCCTCAGAGACAGAAAAATACCCAGAGCTCCTCTTTGAGAGCTGGTACAAACTGTCTCTTTGGTGCAGGGTAGTGGTGGCTCATAAAAACCCACTCAATTTTGGTTTTAAAAAAATCTTCTTCAGAACTTCAGAGTAGGTAGTAATTAACACAAGAATATGTAATTTCTGATATGAGTGGACCACCCAGAATGTTTCTAATTCATCCACTCCTCTGGTCCCCAGTTCCTTGTCTTCTTAGGAAAATTTCCTCTTTTACATCCATCTGTACCTAACGGTTCATGCTTTGCCCTGACTCCCGCTGTGTCTTACCATGTTTGTGTTCTTATGTTTCTCACTCTCAGCCTCTCTTCCCTTTCTCTCCTTCCTGTCTCTCACAGCTTCCTCTGTCCCCAATGCTTTCTGCATCTTTTGTGCCAGGTGCTCTTTTCCTTTCTCTCCACCTCTGTCTTTCCAGGAGTCTTTGCAGAGCTCTCTCTATGTAGGCTTCCTCACGCCTGACGATTTCTTGGGCCTCTGTACCTCAGCTCTCCATGCCCACCGCTTATCCTCAGTTGGCCTCGTTCCCCTGATGCCCTGAATATTCCCAGACCAAATACTCACCACAATGAAGCCCAATCCAACAAAGAGCACAACAGTGACTGTGGTTGCAGCCAGGGATATGAGGATAATTCCCATGGGTGTCAGGAGCCTGGTGGGTTTCACTGCTGTGACTGAAGTAGTTCACAGAAGGTGAGTGTCACCATGTTTAGTGGTTTCATCTTCTGTGGTCCCTGGGTCTGCAGTGACGGAGTCCTCGGTGGTCCCTGGGTCTGCAGTGATGGAGTGTTTGGTGGTCCCTGGGTCTGCAGTGACAGAGTCCTCAGTGGTCCCTGGGTCTACAGTGATGGAGTGTTTGGTGGTCCCTGGGTCTGCAGTGACGGAGTCCTCTGTGGTCCTTGGGTCTGCAGTGATGGAGTCCTTGGTGGTCCCTGGGTCTGCAGTGACAAAGTTCTCAGTGAGTGGTCCCTGGGTCTGCAGTGACAGAATCCTTGGTGGTCCCTGGGTCTGCAGACACATAGTCCTTGGTGGTCGCTGGGTCTGCAGTGACAGAGCCCTCGGTGGTCCCTGGGTCCACAGTCACATTGTCCTCAGTGGTCCCTGGGTCTGCAGTGACAGAGTCCTCGGTGGTCCCTGGGTCTGCAGTGATGTGGTCCTCAGTGGTCCTTCCATCTGCAGTTACATCATTTTCTCTTATTCTTGAGTCTTTAGGGCTGGTCTCTGGGTGCTTAGTGGAAATGCTTTGGCTTAGTCCTACTAAAAAGTAATCTCATTTAATGTGAATTGTTGATGGCCTATCCTCATCTGCTCTGCTCAGTATTTTCATAACTATCCTCACATCCAAATGACACCTCTCCCCAGGTAATGTGGTGAGATTTATTCCAGTTAGGGATCATTTGGCATTTTTGGTTTAATTCTGGTAAAACATATTCCACAAGAATCCTCTTGCACTACAATATGGATTATCTTTGCTGAGCCACGCCCTTCGAAGGCCTGCTCACCCAGCTTTGACTCTGTCTTTTCCAGGTCTGGTCTCTTTCCGTGGGACACTAAACCTGACTCTTTCTCAAGCTCACTCCTCTCTGAACTGGTGTTTCAGCAATTGGGGTATTCTGGCTCCATGTTCATAGGTGTCTCCTCTCATCCATTTGTGCCTGCGGTTCTGGCAAACCAATGAGGCAGAAGCTGTGATTCATGTTAGAGATTACACTCAGGTCATGCTTGGTATATGATTTAAAATGAGACAGCTGGCCAGGTGCTCCATCTCAAAAAAGGAAAAAAAAAGCATGAGACAGCTTCTGGGTCAGATCTGGGGCTAACGTGGTAGGCTTGGAGGCAGGGAAGATTCAAGGTGGTATGGGGGCAGGCTTAGGGGAGGAGTCATGAGGGGTGTGGGTGTGATCTAGTTGGACTGAGGGCAACACTGAGTCAGGTATAAGTACAAAGAAGAGATGAGTCCTCTTCGTCTCCAGCCCTCACTGCCCCAGGCAGCCGTCAGGACTTGGGAGTATTCTTATTCTTAGGAATACATGTAGCTTACATGGCATAAATTTTGAACTTTTGGTACTCTGCCCAAATCTAGTCATCCCTCCCTACTGCTGACGCTCCACATTTTTCTAATAGGGTTCAAGTCTTCCTTCCTTCCTTCCTTCCTTCCTTTCCCTCTCTCTCTTTTTTTTTTTTTTCTTTGAGACGGAGTCTCCCTCTGTCATCCAGGCTGGAATGCAATAGCGCGATCTCCACTCACTGCAACCTCCACCTCCCAGGTTCAAGCGATTCTCCTGCCTCAGCTTCTCAAGTATTTGGGATTACAGGCGTGCGCCACCAGACCCAGCTAATTTTTGTATTTTTACTAGAGACTGGGTTTCACCATGCTGGCCAGGCTGGTCTCAAACACCTGACCTCAGATGACCCACCCGCCTCAGCCTCCCAAAGTGCTAAGATTACAGGCATGAGCCACTGCACCTGACCGTTTCTTTCTTTTCTTTCTCTTTTTCTTTCTCTCTTTTGACACAGGGTCTTGTTCTGTGATTCAGGCTAGAGTTCAGTAGCACAATCATGGCTCAATGCAGCCTTGGCCTCCTGGCCTCAAGTGATCCTCCCACCTCAGCCTCCCGAGTAGATTAGACTACAGGCATGGGCTACCACGCCTGGCTGATTTTTTTGGTTTTTGTAGAGATGGTGTCTCACTATGTCGCCCAGGCTTGTCTCAAACTCCTGGGCTCAAGGGATCCCACTCCTTCTCATCCTCCCAAAGCGCTGGGATTAGAGGAGTGCCAAATTTTTCATTTCTCCAGGAAAGTTGAAACAAAGAAACTTAAATAAAATGCACAAAATCAAAAGCAGAGCATTTCCTTAAAAGGGGATATGAGAAAGACGCTGGGGTCCCTGCTTCCCTGTGGCAGGTGATTGAGGGTAGATAACAGGGTCCGGAGTTCCCAAGGTTCACTCACCTATTCCGTACCTTCGCTCGGGACTGGCCCTGTCTGAGTCCCAAGAGGCTCCTTCTCCAGGGACCCTGACTCCATCTCTCCAGGTCCCGGGGACTTTTGCATCCTTCTCACCAAAATTAACTCCTCCACCCCGTTCTGAACACCTCAGGAGAAGCAGGAGCAGCAGAAGGGGGACGTAGCGGGGCATTTTCTTCTCATCTCAAGAGAATCCACATGGTGCTAGCCAGGACACCTTTTCCTCCCTCCTTCTCTCAAACTTTTTCCACCCTGCCCTTCTCCTTCCACCCGCAGTGGCTGTGGGTTTATATGTGCTTTGCCGAGGGAAGCCAGAGCTCCGGGTCTTCCTTCCTGGAGGGAGGAGCAGCTTCTCAATTACCCCCTGTCACTCAAAGGAGTGGCCGGGCAGGGCAGAAGAGGCTGTCATGAGGGGAAGGGGGGCTCTCAGCTTTGGACCAGAGCCCAGAGTCGAGCAGCCACAGGGGATCAAGCCTGTCAGCGTGAGTGCACTGCTTTCTGATGTGGAGCCTAGTTGAAAACCATCCTCCACCCGGTGTTTCAGTGCTCAGGGAGGGCCTCGGCCTTCCTTCCCACAGGTGGCCACAGTAAAGTCAGGATGACCAAGGAGGGCATAGGCCAGGCCTGCCTGGGGGATGATGCTTGGCAGGAGGAGAGCTGGGTGTCAGAGGGTAGAGGACATTTGGTAAGGACCAAGAGAAGGTCCTCCAACAGAAGGAGAGGAACACTCATGAGGGGGCTAAAACACCCAATCTCTCTGTCTCTTAAAACCTCACTCTTTGCTCAATCATCCACCCAAATCCTCTTCCTTGGCTTCTCTCCAGCCCACGGATCTCTCTCCTTGCTCCCCCTGCTCGAGTGCCCTCACCCCAGTGAGCTTTCTCAATTACTGCATGTATTAGTCTGTTTTCACGCTGCTGATAAAGACATACCCAAGACTGGGAAGAAAAAGAAGTTTAATTGGACTTACAGTTCCACATGGCTGGGGAGGCCTCAGAATCACGGAGGGAGACAAAAGGCACTTCTTACACAGTGGCGGCAAGAGAAAATGAGAAAGAAGCAAAAGCGGAAACCCCTGATAAACCCATCAAATCTCATGAGACTTATTCACAGTCATGAGAATAGCAAGAGAAAGATGATTGGCGAAAAGAGAAAAACTCCCCACAGCATGAGGGGAATTGTGGGAGCTACAATTCAAGTTGAGATTTCTGTGGGGACAGAGCCAAGCCATATCACTGCACAAAATTAGTCCACTTGTGGTGAGGTCAGGCCTGAATGAGAATACCCACATCTTTTCCTCCTTCTCTGACCCTTATCCCTGCCTTGCCCACTCTTTAGAAGATCATTGTTGGTTCCCATCTTCATTCAGAGATGTCTCTCACCATTTGTGGGGCCTCTCTCTTTCCCAGTGTCCTTCTAACTAAAAGAGGAGTGTGAAATTGCAGGTGGGCCGGGAATTGTTCCTCTCTTAGAAGGCAGCTGATTTCCTGAAAATCAATTTAATGAATGGCTAGTTTACCACATGTAACTGACTATGTTAACTACTAGTATTATTTGAATGTATTAAATATTTTCTCTTTTCCTTCCTTCCTTTCTTTCTTTCTTTCTTTCTTTCTTTCTTTCTTTCTTTCTTTCTTTCTTTCCTTCTTTCTCTTTCTCTTTCTCTCTCTTTCTTTCTTTTTGACAGGGTCTTGCTGTATTGCCCAGGTTGGAGTGCAGTGGTGCTATCACGGCTCACTGCAGCCTCGATCTCCCAGGCTCAAGTGATCCTTCCACCTCAGCCTCCGGAGTAGCTGGGACTATATGCATGCACCACCATGCCCAGCTGATTGTTTTTTTATTTTTAGTAGAGACAAGGTCTCACTATGTTGCCCAGGCTGGTCTCGAACTCCTGAGCTCAAGAGATCCTCCCTCATCAGCCTCCCAAAGTGCTGGGATTACAGGTGTGAGCCACATCACCCAGCAACATTTTCAAACATAGTATTTAAACACACTCAAAAGAATTTGTATGTATTTAGTATAACTAATGAATAGATTTCAAAAGAGTATAGTAAGGAAAATATCTGATTTTCTAAGTCAAGAGGTATAATTTGCATATGATAAAATTCACCCTTTTTCATGTACAGGTCAATAGAATTTTTTTGGTTTGGCTTTGTTTTAGAATTTTTAAAACTTCATTTTGAGATAATTTTAGACTTACAGAGAATTACAAAAATAATTAACAGAGTTCCCGTATATTTTTCCCCTAGCTTTTCCTCATGTCAATATCTTACATAGTACAATTATAGAAACTGAGAGATTATATATACAATTATAGAAGCTAAGAAGTTATTGTTGGTACAATACTATATATATTTTTTTGAGACAGAGTTTCACTCTTGCTGCCCAGGCTGGAGTGCAATGGCACGATCTCAGCCCACAGCAACCTTCCCCTCCCAGGTTCAAGTAATTCTCCTGCCTCAGCCTCCCGAGCACCCGGGATTACAGGTGTGTAATCCTAATGGTGATAGATTAGATTCCTTCTACATTTATTAATTGAAATTCTTCTGTAAGAAAAAGTCGTGCCCTCTCCCCATTTTATTTATTCAACTATTTGTTTATATCAGAATGGACTCATAAATGTTTATTTTGTTCTGTGAGTTATGATCCAATACTATCACTATTTATTTTGTTGCTCAAACTTTGGCCACTGGGAGCTCTTTCAGATGGGCTCCAGTGCCGTTTTAATGTCCTCCATCCTTTTTTTGTTTTGTTTTATTTATGAGACAAGACTTCACTGCGTTTCCTAGGCTGAATTGCAGTGGCATCATCATACAGCCTCAAACTCCTGGGCTCAAGGGATCCTCCTGCCTCAGCCTCCTACAAGTAGCTAGGACTACAGGCATGCACCAGCACACCCAGCTGATATCTCCATTGCTATTTTGTTTTGTTTTTTGAGACAGGGTCTCACTTTGTTGCCCATGCTAGAGTGCAGTGGTGCAATATTGGCTCACTGTAATCTCCGTATCCTGAGCTCAACTAATCCTCCCACCACAGCCTTCCAAGTAGCTGGGACAACAGGTGTGCGCCACCACACCCAGCTAACTTTTTTTTTTTTTGTAGAGACAAAGTTTTGTCATATTGCTCAGGCTGGTCTTAAACTCCTGGGCTCAAGCAATCCACTTGTCTTGGCCTCCCAAAGTGCTGGGATTACAGGCTCAAGCCACTGTGCCCAGCCTCTCCATCCGTGGTATTTTGTTTTTTTGTTTTTTTTGTGTGAGATGGAATTTCGTTCTCGTTGCCTAGACTGGAGCGCAATGGTGCAATCTCGGCTCACTGCAACCTCTGCTTCCTGGGTTCAAGTGATTCTCCTGCCTCAGCCTCCCAAGTAGCTGGGATTACAGGCATGCACCACCATGCCCAACTAATTCTGTATTATTTTAGTAGGGAGAGTTTTCTCCAAGTTGGTCAGGCTGGTCTCCAACTCACGAACCTCAGGTGATCCCCAGGCCTGGGCCTCCCAAAGTGCTGGGATTACAGGCATGAGACACTGTGCATGGCCCTCTCCATCCCTTTTTAAAACACTTTCTTGCATTCTGGTATTACAAGATGCTTCATGCTCATTTTTTATTTTGTCCATCCAGGCCCTGGAATCAACTATTTCTCCACAGAGCTCTGGCTCCTCTTTGTATTAGAGAATAATATTTAGAAACCAAGATTTGGGTACTAGGTGTGCTCATTCATAGTGGGTGTCACTGCTTCTTGCCCCCACGGAAGTTAGAGCTAGGAAACGTATGTATGTAAACTAACTCATGCATAAACACAGGTCTGTATTTATTTCTGCAATTACCTGTCTGCATATACAGATTGAATCCCTTATCTGAAATGTTTGAGACCGTAAGTGTTTTGGATTTTCAATTTCTTGGATTTCGAAATATTTGTATATACACAATGAGATATCTTGTGGATGAGACCCAAGTCTAAACATGAAATTTGTTTATGTTTTATATATATCTTATACATGTAGCCTGAAGGTAACTTTACGTGATATTTTAAATAATTTTGTGCATGAAACAAAGTTTGTGTATGTTGACTTGTGGTGTCATGTTGGTGCTCAGCAAGTTTTGGATTTTGGAGCATTTTGGATTTTCAGATGAGGGTTGCTCAACCTGTGTTTTAAACACAAGCATGGGTGCATTTTGACACCTCCAGCTTTAATCCAGCAACATGGGGTTCATTCTAGTCTCTCCCTTTTCTTTATTTGTAACTCCTTTCTCTGACATGGCTACGAATGTCTATAAACATATTTTTTTACTTATTTTTTCAACCCTAATAAACAAATAGTGGTTTCAGAACTGCTAATTCATACCCTTGCCAGAAACACATTTACCAACTACAGTACAGTGTTTCTGTATTTTTTTTTTTTTTTTGTCTTTAGCTTTATGGTCAAAACACAGTTTTTCTTTTCTTTTTCTTTTTTAAATTTGAGACAGGGTCTTGCTCTGTCACCCAGTCTGGGGTGCAGTAGCACTGCAGCCTTGATCTCCTGGACTCAAGCGATCCCTCCATCCTAGCCTCCTGAGCAGCTAGGACTACAGGCACACCATCATGCCCAGCTAATTTTTTTAACTTTTTGTAGAGGCGGGGTTCTCGCTGTGTTGCTGAGGCTGATCTCAAGCTCCTGGACTCAAACAAGCCTCCTGCCTTGGCCTCCCAAAGTGGTAGGATTACAGGCATGAGCCACCATGCCTGACTCAAAACAGTTTTTCAAAGTTACTTAGGCCAGCTCCTTCTTCTCCATCCGTTTCACTGTGCTTACATGAGTCATTTGTCAGAGTCTGCTTTCCATCTTTCCCTCCACATCCTGGTTGATTTGCTGAATTTCCATACCCTAAAAATCACTTTTTGTAGTGTACAGTTCTATGGATTTTGATAAATGGTAGAGTCACATATTCGGCGCACTGAATCCCTTCATCCTCCTCAATCTCCCCCCATGCCGTTCCTTTAGAGCCAACCCTTCTCCCACTTCCCAAACCCTGGCAACATGGATCTTGTTTCTTTCCCTATAATTTTGCCATTTTCAGAATGTCATATGAAGGGAATCGTATAGTCTGTAGCCTTATAGTTTTAGATATAATTTATATACTATTCATAGGAATCATATTTGCAATTATTCATCAGAGTCAAGAATAAATAATTTTTTCTTGCACATATTTTTGAATAAAGTCTTTCATGTGAAAATTGTTATAAATAAATATATTTATCTTGAGTATTTTCTTAACTAGAAAACATGCTATAAATCAAGAAGACATTCCCCAGTCTCCCTCTGTCTCCCAGCCTCCAGCCTGCAGCAGGAGGGAATCACACTGAATAGGATTTAAACAAAATTTAAAAATTCAAAGAATTAGTCATTTGATGAATTAGTTTTAAGAAAATTGCCTAGAGCTCGTTAGATGAAGACCTCCCTAAAACAGGACTTTTAACAAAAGTCACCATAAATTCTGGAGTTGGGGATTTTTAAAAAAGTGCTAGGCAGAAATCTCTTGAAATTCACATTTCTTCTCGTTTTCGTTTTTTTTTTTTTTTTTTTTTTTGAGACAGGGTCTCACTCTGTTACCCAGGCTGGAGTGAGTGGCGCAATCACAGCTCAGTGAAGGCTTGACCCCCTGGGCTCAAGTTATCCTCCCACCTCAGCTGGGACTACAGGTGTGCACCACCACACCTGGCTAATCTTTTTAACTTTTTGTAGAGACAGGACCTCACTCTGTTGCCCAGGCTGGTCTCAAACTCCTGGGCTCAAACAGTTTTCCCACTTTGGCCTCCCAAAGTGTTAGGATTACAGGCATGAGCTACTGTGCCCAGCCTCCACTTCTTTTCTTCTTTCCCATTTCCATGTTTTGTGGTCTTAGATTTGTCTATTTGCTTCTTTCTTTGCAGGGGCATTACAACACCATTTTTGCTGGTTTCCAGCCTCTATTTTCTACTCACTCAGCTGATTGAAGTGTTCTTATTGGGGAAAAAATTGTGTCCCACTACACCTTAAAGTGATCTGTGGGCTTTGTGCTGTTAAAGGATGAAATCTGGCCTCCTTGGAGTGGTGTTCAAAGCCACGCATTAGCCCCCAGCCCCAGCTCCCTCTGCTGTGCTCTCCAGCCCCACAGGTCTTCTGACCTTCACTGGCCGTGCCATGCCCAGTCTTGCACAAGCTGCTTGCTTGCCTGGCATTTCCTCTTCTGCTCCTCGTAAATGCCTGCTAACTCCTCAAAATCCAAATGTCACCTTCTATGTGAGTCAGCCTCTCCTCCCCTCATCAAGTTAGATGTTTCCTCCTGTGGTGCTTCCATTCATACTACTTGATGCGTTGGCCTGTAACTTATGTACCTCCCTCACCCAACTGTGACCTACAGGGTCATCCTAGCTGCCCCAGCTCCTTGAGACCTCATGCCAAGCAGGTGTCCAGTAAATATGGTGAATGAATGAATGAAAAAATGAGTGCAAAAGATGATAATTATTTTACGAAAAGGTCTGGGGGCTCTTAAAACTGAAGAGGAGATAATGGATACACTGATAAATATCTTCAAGGTATTATTTTAAAACCCTAATATAAAAATAAAAATTAAAAAATCCCAAAATAAAAAACCCGAATATACATTTTTTCTTCCTATTGAGGTAAAATTTACAAAAAGTGAAATGCACAGATCTTAAGAATTCAGTTAGTGGAGGTTTCTTGTTTTGTTTTGTTTTTTTGAGACAGGGTCTCACTCTGTTGCCCGGGTTGGAGTGCAGTGGCACCATCACGGCTCACTGCAGCCTTGACCTCCTGGGCTCAAGCAATCATCCCACCTCAGCCTCCCAAGTAGCTAGAACTACAGGTGTGCATTACTATACCCGACTAATATTTGTATGTTTTGTAGAGATGAGGTCTTGCCATGTTGCCCAGGCTGGTCTCAAACTCTTGGGCTGAAGCAATCCTTTCACCTCAGCCTCCCAAAGTGCTGGAATTACAAGCGTCAGCCACCACACCCAGCTGTTAGCTGAGTTTTGACAAGTGTATTTACCTGTGTAACCAACAGACCAGTTGATATAGAAAACATTCCTATCACCCAGAAAGTGCCCCCTTCCTAAAAACCCTCACCCTCATAGGAGATCTGATCTCTGCCACCATAGATTAGTTTTGCCTATTGTTGAATTTCATGCAAATAAATTGTACAGTAGATACTCTCTTGCATCTGTTAAAAATAGATTTTGTTGTTGTTGTTATGTTTTTTGTTTGTTTTGTTTTGGAGACAGAGTCTTTCTCTGTTGCCCACAGTGGAGTGCAGTAGCGCAATCTCTGCTCACTGCAACCTCCGCCTCCCAGGTTCAAGCAATCCTCCCACCTCAGCTTCCCGAGTAGCTGAAACTACAGGCATGTGCCACCACACCCGGCTAATTTTTGTATTTTTAGTAGAGACGGGGTTTTGCCATGTTGGCAGGGCTGGTTTTGAACTCCTGACCTCAGGCGATCCGCCCGCCTCAGCCTCCCAAAATGCTAAGATTACAGGCATCATGAGCCACCGCACCCAGCCTAAAAACAGTTTTGTTCATCATATTGTAAAATGTTCTTAGAGAAACAGCTTGGTCCTGTTAAGGCTCTCCCAAAGACCCAGGAGAATCCCAGAAGCTGAAGAGACTTAGCAGAGGGTGAAACTGATAAAGCAGAGGCGAGTGATTCACAGGGAGGAAGAATCAGTGGGGTGCGTGTGCGAGTGCGAGAGCAAGTTGCACCAGAAGCCTGGGTGGGACCAGGCCTGAGCATGGTGCTGACACTGGCATGTGTGCCCTCTGAGGCCTGGTTTTGGGGGAGCTGCTGAGGATCTAGACCGTAGCAGGGCAAGCCAGTCCTGCCCTTGCAAAAACTGGGAGCACATTCTCCCTGCCCAGGACAGTTGCTGGGCTGGGAGCCCACAGGAGAGAAAGGTGGCAACTCACACCTGCAGCCCAGAGCAGACGTGAGTGGCCAGGAAAAGTGGCCATGTCTAAGGGTGGCCCCAGTAGCAAGCTCTTTCCTACCTCACAACATGAAAACAGGATCACTTTCCTCCAGTTCATGTTCTAGGCTCACGCAGAGGCTGTTTTCCTGCCATGCAACACACGTCTGTAAAGACCAGCACCTGCCTTCCCCCATCTCTCCTGACTCCGTTCTTCCATCGACCCAGAGGCCTCGGGGAGCAGGGAAGGAGTGGGGAAGAAAATGGGACAGATGTGAGGTCTCTGGATTTCATGCTAGGATTTGAGAACTGGGAGGTCACAGCGAAAGAGTGTCCTCATGATATAGGAAACCTCTCTTCACAGCAATATACAAGCACACACCCACAGTCTGGCTGTCACATAGAGCAGATGCACTTATTTAATCATTCAGCACTAGCGATAGCCTCCTGTTTCAGGTCTGGGAGAACTAAACAGAAGGTAGGAGTGTCAGGGGCTGGAGCAGAGCTGGGAGGAGCAGCCCTGGGGGCAAGTGAGGAAAACCGAGACCGCTGGTCCTCCCCACCCTGAGGACAGTGAAGTGCCTGCCTTTAGGGACACTGTGTCTCCTCATCAGCTCCATGCCTGTGGGAGAACACTGGTCTCTAAAATCCGTTTCAGTCTCACTTGACCCATCTTGGACTCCATGATATCCTTGAGGACATGGACCAAGGTTTGGGATGTGAAGATCTTTGGTGAAGAGGTTTCTTAGGCACAGAGAGTTTCTCTAGAAAACAAAAGGATGGATGGTTCAGAGTTATGCCCCTCTTCCAGTGCTCTCCCATCCCACGTGTCCCCACTCCCCATTCGGCCTCCCCAGCCTCAGTACTCCTTTGGCCCCTTCTCTCCTCATCAATTTCCTCTGAACATGTACCAGCTTTTCTAGCCCTCTCTCTTGCTGGTTCTCACCTGCTGTCTCTGTCTTGCTTTGTCCCTCTCCTGATTTCTCATTCCCTATTAGCCACACAATGACCCTACTCTCTCTACCCTGCTTCCCTCCTCAGTTCCCTGCACTCCCTCCCTCAGAAAAAGGATTTCCCACACATCAGGCACTCATGAAATAAAAGAGCCCTGTGAAGAGAATCACAGCCATTGCAACCAAGGCCAGAGTGACTAGGATGACTTCCCACAGCCTCAGGCATCCATTAGACCTTCCCTCATTCCCTGGAGGGGCTGCACTTGTGCTGGTGACACTGGAGGTTGCGGTTGTTGTGTTAGTTCCACTGGAAGATATAGTGGACCCAGGGCAGGGGGGTTGTAGTGATTCCACTGGGAGGTGTGGTTGGTCCAGGGAGCGTGGTCACGGTGATTCTGCTGGATAATGTGGTTGATCCTGGAGGGGTGGTCATGGTGATTCCACTGGAAGGTGTGGTTGGTCCAGGGCAGTGTTCACAGTAATTTCGCTGGATGGTGTGGTTGATCCTGGAGGGGTGGTCACAGTGATTCCACTGGAAGGTGGGGTTAATCTGGGGGGATGATCGTGGTGATTTCACTGGAAGTTACAGCTGGTTAAGAAAGGGTGGCTGGTTGGCTCCACTGGAAATTTGGTTTTGTTCACCACTACCGCTACTATGAGTAATACTAGTGATAATAATAGTGGCTGTCATTTAAGAATGCTCACTATATTCCAGGCACTGTGCTAAGTGCCACATATAAATTAGTACTAAAATCCTTACAATACCTCCTTGAGATAGAAACTAATATTACCCCCATTTTATAGATAGGTAAATTGAGGTTTAGAGAAGTTAAGCAGCTAGTTCCAGGTCAGACAGTTAGTAGGTAGTGGAACAACGATTTAAATCAAGGCAGTCTGACCCCAGAGCCAGCCCCTAAAGCCCTTAACCCATGCATTATTCCATATCCCAGGTATGGGGGAGTTACAAGACCAGGGTTTACAGGGGATGGTGTTATTCTTTTAACTATTCATGATACTCTCCGACTAAAGAACGTAAGAGAAAAGTTGAAGGCCCATCAAGCTCCTCTCCAAACAGTATTGTGCCCTTCCTCTAGGGGGCAGATAATCAAGCGGAATCGGTTTGGGAGGGGACCATGATGTGCATTTTTACTACATCGGGTAATTCTTCTGAACACAAAAGTTTGGGGCTGGGCGCAGTGGCTCACACCTGTAATCCCAGCACTTTGGGAGGCCAAGACAGGAGGATCACTTGAGGCCAGGAGTCTCGACCAGCCTGGACAACATGGAGAAACCCTGTCTCTACTACACATACAAAAAAATTAGACAAGCATGGTGGTGCACACCTGTAATCCCAGCTACTCGGGAGGTTGAGGCACGAGAATCGCTTGAGCCTGGAAGGTGGAGGTTGCAATGAGCTGAGAGCACGCCACTGCACTCCAGCCTGGGCGACGGAGCAAGACTCTGTCTCAAAAAAAAAAAATAGTTTGGGAGCCACTGGTTTAAGGGACCCCAGATGGTCTTGACACATGGACTAGTAAAGAATCAGTCATGTCAGCTTGAAGAAATAAGATCTTCTGGGATTCAGGAAAGTGGCTCAGCTTTCTTGTTGGATCAGTTAGAGTTAAGGTGAGACTGAGCTTCTTTCCCTGTCATGCCTATTTTCTACCCTGTTCTGATTTTCCATCCCATTAACAACCAAGCCCTTGACCTCCCAGATCCCTATAGACCCTCTCCTCATCGATGGCCCTGTTCTCTCCCTGGATGTAGGTGCTGCCCTTCACCCTCCACATATGTTCTTGCCTTGGTGTTGTCTGGACTAACATAAGGATTGCCAATTTAGATTTGAGGGAAGAATCCCAAAACTGTGTGTCGATGCCTTAGGTTAGGGTCAGAGCCAAGAGAGAAACTAAGTGAGAAGTTGAGATGAAAAGCTGGCCTGTGGAGAGGGAATAGACTGGTTTTGTGTTGGTCAGGGGCATAAAACACAAGAGTCAAAGCCATGCTGGGGCAGATTCTAGAGAGAATTAAATCTGCGTGAGTGTGGAACAGCAATGTCTCATGAAGTGTTTAATTAGAGGCTAGATGACTGCTGTCAGAGACGCTGGAAATAGATCCCTGCCTATTACGGGTGGTCAGACACTAATTCAAGTTCTCTTCCAACTCTAATGCGCCTATATCTGGGAATGATGTATTATAGAGTAAATAGGTCCATCTTCTGGGCAGAAGAGTTGCCACTGAGAACAGAACGGAGGACAGATGCTGGGTTGCATTGGAGAGAAAGAAGCAAAATAATCATCCCTCCTGCCTTGAAGAGAATGGGGGCAACAAGGACAGAGTGTGTGTCCCAGAAGTTGTCAACACTTTCCCCAAACTCTACTCAAACTCCAAGATTATTCTCTTTTAAACAAAATCACTCACCATTTCCTAAAAGTAGAAGGAAGTGAAACAGCCAGCATGCAAGGGAAAATTGCTTTCTCTTTCTTTTGAGATAGTCTGCCTGTGTGAGGCTGGAAGGGAAGGCTCCTCCCTTAGTCCCGATGGGATTAAGCCTTAGAAGGGAAAGGCAGAAAATGAGAATCTTGAGGGTGGAGTCTCAAGGTGGAGATCTGAGGGCTGGACTACTAGGAATTCGGAACTCCAAAGAATAGGTCCTCAATCTGAAGAGAAGCACCGCTAGGGGGACCTGGGCTGCAGGGGAAGCTGGATGTCTGGTCCTTGATGTTCCTTCACAGAATGCCACCTCTTCTTTTTCTCTTTCAAAGAAGGCCTTTAGGGCGGGTACAGTGGCTCATGCCTGTAATCCCAGAACTTTGGGAGGCCAAGATAGGCAGATTACGAGGTCAGTAGTTCGAGACCAGCCTGGCCAACATAGTGAAACGCCATCACTACTAAAAATACAAAAATTAGCTTGGTGTGGTGGCACATGCCTGTAGTCCCAGTTGCTTGGGAGGCTGAGGCGGGAGAATCGCTTGAGCCCAGGAGGCAGAGGTTGCAGTGAGCTGAGACCACGCCATTGCACTCCAGCCTGGGCAACAGAGTGAGACTCCATCTCAAAAAAAAAAAAAAAAAAAAAGGAAGAAGAAGAAGGCCTTTAAAGCATCATCTGGACTGGGCAAGGCCTGGACATGTAGGCTGTTGTTCTTCCAGCTGTGAGCAGTGGCAGAATCCCCAAGCTTAGAGAGGAGGGTACAGCAGCCAGAAGGTAGGTGAGGGTGGAGGATGACTTAGTCCCATTAGGAAGGGCCTGGGGAGGAGTGGGAAGTGGAATAGTTCAAGGGCCTGGGCAACAGAGCAAGACCCTGTCTCAAAAAAACAGAAAACAGGCCGGGCACGGTGGCTCGCGCCTGTAATCCCAGCACTTTGGGAGGCTGAGGCGGGTGGATCACAAGGTCAGGAGATCGAGACCATCCTGGCTAACACAGTGAAACCCTGTCTCTACGAAAAATACAAAACAATTAGCAGGGCGTGGTGGCGGGCGCCTGTAGTCCCAGCTACTCGGGAGGCTGAGGCAGGAGAATGGCGTGAACCTGGGAAGCGGAGCTTGTAGTGAGCCGAGATCGCGCCACTGCACTCCAGCCTGGGTGACAGAGCGAGACTCAGTCTCAAACAAACAAACAGACAAACAAACAAAACAGAAAACAAAAAAACTCTCATGGAGTCTAGCCCCAGGTTTTTTTCATGACCTGCGAATGAAGGAACTGGAAGCCAATTACCCCGTTCCCATATTTGTTTTCTGCCGCTCCTTCAGTTGTCTTTGGGCTCTCTCTGTTGGCCTCAGCCAGAGTTGAAGCAAGCTTGGACTGTAAGCTCTCAGTCCCCAGGCAAACTGACAGTGTCCAAAGTGTAGGTACTTCCTTGATCATCTGGCTTGTCTGGCACACAGCACTGATGAGAAGACCTAGCTGAAGCTCCCCGGTGGAAAAGCTTCTATAAATTCTTCAAAAACAAAAGGGGAGCGCCTCTATCAAGGAGGATTAGAAGCAGGAGCATTCCTCTTTCCAGTGCCATCACTCTCCTTAGGTCCCCTGCAGCGTGTGTGCTGGTAAATGTTTAACAACTCACTTCTCGTGGTGCAAATGCACCCGCCAGAGCTGACTGCGTGTGACCAGCGTGAATCACTGTGTATAGAATGGGAAGCAATGGGCGGCACACCACCTTTTCGAGTGGTTTTATAAACATCTACTTCTTGTACTAAATCCTTTTATGCTTGAAATATCCAAAGTGGTTTCTGTTTTCATAAGTGAACTCTGACTGTTACAGTATTTGGTATAACAAGAGGTTTCAGAAAATTGACGTTCAAAGGTGGCAATCTGGGATTGGTTCCCTGACCCATTAGGCTTGAGGGCAGGGGCGACCTCATGCTAGTATAAAATGAAGTCTTTGTATTACACAGCAAAAGATAGAAAAAGTGACTTAAGTTATCACCTGTGGTGGTGCCTGGAATAAAGCAATTGTTGAAGGGAAGGGCCGGGAGCCCAGGTGGTCGCTGTGACAGATCGTGAAGCTGGGAGTGTTGACTGCCGGGACTGTGGGTGGCTGCACTGGGAGATTACAGGAAAAAAATGACCCCTCTGCTGCATCCTCAGTCAAGGCATTGCCAGCGAACACAGAGCTTTCTCTGAATATTCTAAAAGACATGCTTATCTCTCAAAGCCACAGGGACTATGTATGAAAAAACCAGACCCACAGTTTGATTCTGCAGATTGGAGAATTATATTCAACTTGCATTTATATCTTTGCCAGTCTCGTGTGTGACATTTGGAATATTTGTTAACGGAAGCCCAGAATTGGAGTGGAGACACCTGGGTAGATTTTGATGAGTCTGAAAAACTTTGAACCTCCAAATCCCGCAGAGCTTTCCTTGCCAGCAGAAGTAGCCCCTCCTCCCCTCTGTGAGGAAGTCACTTTCTCTTGCCTGAAGACCCTATAGTGACGCCCTCACAGCACTCCCTTGGCAAGGGGACACAGATTTTCCTCAGGCCCTGTATTAGTTTCTTATTGCTGCGTGACAAATTACCACAAATTCAGGCTGAAGATAGCACAAATATATTATCTTGCAGTTCTGGAGATCGGAAGTTTAAAATAGGTTTTACTGGGCTAAAGTCAAGGTGTCAGCTGGTCTGTGGTCCTTCTGGAGGCTCTAGAGAAGAATCTGTTTACTCACCTTTTCCACCGCTAGAGGCTTCCAGCACTCCTTGGTTTGTGGCCCCTTCTTCCATCTTCAAAGCTTGCATCGCAGCATCTTCAAATCTCTCTGACTCTGACTCCTGTCTCCCTCTTTTTTTTTTTTTTTTTGAGATTGAGTCTTGCCCTGTTGCCCAGGCTAGAGTGCAGTGGTGCAATCTTGGCTCACTGCAACCTCCACCTCCTGGGTTCAAGCCATTCTCCTGCCTCAGCCCCCTGAGAGGCTGGGATTACAGGCACCCACCACTACACCCGGCTACATTTTGTATTTTTAGTAGAGACAGGGTTTCATCATCTTGACCAGGCTGGTCTCGAACTCCTGACCTCGTGATCTACCCTCCTCAGCCTCCCTAAGTGCTGAGATTACAGGTGTGAGTCACTGCGCCCGGCCTCTCATCTCCCTCTTATAAGGACCTTTGTGATCACATTGGGCCCATACAGATAATCCAGGATAATCTCCCCATTACAAGATCCTTAATGCGATCATGCATGCAGAGTCCCTTTTGCCATATAAAGTAACATATTTCCAGGTTCTGGGAATTGAAACGTGGATGTTTTTGAGGGGCTGTTATTCTGCCTACCACAGGCCCTATTACAATGCCCCTCGTGGCCTCCAGCTCCATGCGTTGAGTCAGATCTAGGGGCTGAAAACAACCATAGATGACAGTGAGCAAGGAAACAGGGGCCTCAACTCTAAACACAAGGAACTGGACTCTGCCACAACCACGTGAGCTTGAAAGAGATGCCAGCCTCCAGATGAGGATGCAGCTCAACTAACACCTTCATTTTAACCTGTGAGACTGAGCAAAGGAGTCAGTCATGCTGGCCCCAGACCCGCCTCATAGAACTGTGGTCTGATAAATGGGTGTTGGTTTAAGCTGCTGCATTTGTAGTAAGTTATCACTGATAGAAAACAAATACATGGGTGAACTTATCACATGTTCTAGATTCAAAACATTAGCTCAAGTAGGTGTGAGTTGCACTAATAGTTCTCTCGGTTGCTTGAAATGTGGACTTAGTGGTGGCCTACACTAAATAAAGTTGAGATCCCAGTATTTCATTAGTATAAGCGGAAGAAAAAAATCAAAAGACTTAGGAAGAGAGTTATGTTGGAATGGATTTAATATGTGCAACTTGCTCACTCACTCTTTCATTACGTCCTCCCAGAAGGTTCCATTGAAACTGTCTTCATCAAGGCATTAGAAGGGAGAGGACCAGCATCGTTGAAAAGCTCTGTAGCAGCTCTTTGCTAAATGCAATGGTGGATGATCTGACCATTGAAATGAGCTTCCTGATTTCAGTGGGCATGGTGGAATCTTCAGGAAACAGTAGGTAGGTGGTAGGGCTTTCCCTCCAGAGACAAGACAGGCATGATTATCGATGTGGGCATCACGACCAGAGCTGTAATCAGGGCTCTTTGGCTATGGCTAATTAATCATTAATCAATTAACCACTAAAATCTTACTTGATCTATATAAGTGAAAATATCCAGGTGGTTGAACAGAGAGCTGACTTGAGTTGCCACAGACTCTCACCTAATTCCCAGGCCCGAACCTGTTCACAGACCTAGAAATGAAGGGAAGGCAGCAAGATCCACCACCACCACCAGGATGTGCCGCGAATCTTCCTCCTAGCTTTCAAAAGGAATCTCAGCCATTTATCATCGTGACAGTGCAATGGGGAAATGAAAACACCCAAACCTTTAGGGTAACATACAAGACATCATTGCGATCTACAAGTCAGGGTGGAGCTTATGGGGCTTAGAACATAAATGACGTGGCCGGGCACAGTGGTTCATGCCGGCAATCCTAGCACTTTGTGGGGCCAAGGCAGGTGGATTACTTGAGGTCAGAAGTTTGAGACCAGCCTGACCAACAAGGTAAAAACCTGGCTCTACTAAAGATACGAAAATTAGCCAGGCATGGTGGCAGGCGCCTGTAGTTCCACCTACTCGAGAGGTTGAGACAGGAGAATCGCTTGAACCCGGGAGGCGGGAGGCGGAGGTTGCAGTGAGCCAAGATCGTGCCACTATTCCAGCCTGGGCGACAGAGCAAGACTCCATCTCAAAAAAAAAAGAACATAAATAACATCTTACTCAAAGTTCATCTCTAGGCTCCGTCTGCGCATATTTCCCCACTTTCAAGTGGGAACCAAAGCAAGGCCATAAGGCTGCTTGAGACATTGCTGACTAGATCCAATGTTGCCTAAAATGTCTGTGGTACATCAGAAAGCTGTGTGGAGACACTGGGTAGCTAGTAGAAGAGCCACGGCACAGGTCCCCAGAGTTTTGGAGCAAAAGCAAGCCCTCTTCCACATCCTAGCATCTGACTTAATCTTGGGTCCTCAGCATGCGAGGGTTCATGAAACATGAGCTGCCCTTTATGAACTGGGTGTTGTCTGCACCACCACACTAGACTGGGCATACTTAGCAGTGCTCACCTCCTTGAATGGAAGTGGTGCCTGTGAATTTGGCTGAGTTAGTTCCTCAAGGCACAAGTAAGAGGCATGAGTAGGCAGCTGTAACTCCAGTGGCATCTCCAGCTACATTCCTAACCTCTCTCTCCATAATCACAGTCACATGAAGGGTTTCCTATGTCTAGTTGACTGAGAAAGGAAAGATTTGGTTTCCTCTGGTGTGTGGGTGGTTCTGCATGCTATTCTAACACCACAGAGAGCAGGCTGCTGCAGCATTACCACCCCACTCACGGCAGCCCTGCAGGACAGTGGGGAAGGAAAATTCTCCCAGTGATCCGAATTGTAAAGAATGCATCTGCTTTGTTTACTTTGCCTGGGCAAAGAGATGACCAGTTACAGTTAACCCTGATCAATAGGCAGTGGCTAACAGTTTGGCTAGATAACTCAGGGTGAGGAAAGACATGGTGAATTGATGACAAGGAAGTCTGGGAAAGAGGAAGGTGGACGAGTCTCTTGGGAAGGGCACAGATGGTGAGAGTATGTGCATCCCATGTGACTGTTCACCAATGGGCGTTCACTACAGAGGAAATCTTCCATGATGAGGTTGACCAAGCGATCCATTCTGCAGACGTCAGCCAATCTCTTTTTCCAGCTGCTCTAGTGCTCGCTCAGCAGGGACATGGACAAAGCAGACAGGCTGGCAGGGATGAAGCGTATGCAAGGCTCAGTGAGCTGGCCTTCCCCTCACCAAGGCCAAGCTGGACAGATAATCCATGGCTGAGTGCCTCAACTGCTAACAGCAGAGATCAGTGTTGGCCCCGTTATGTGGCACCATTCTCCAGAGAGAATGGCAGATTAATTATATCAGACCTATTTCAACCTAAAGAGAGAGGTGATTTGTCCTCATTGAAAATAGCTGCTTGCCTCCCTTGCACACAATGCTTCCTGCAGCACCACTGTCTTTGGGCTTACCAAATGCCTCATTTATCGTCATGTGTCTCCAACCACATTCTCTGACCAAGGAAATCATAATATGCTGAGAAAATAGCCTCAGAATATCTTTTTCATTTTTCAAATTGAGACATAACTTACATACCATAAAGTGCACAGATCTCATGTGCACATTTTAATGAAGTTTTACATATCTATACACCCTTGTAATCACCACCCAGATCATACACAGAACATTCTCAGCTTCCCCTGTCTGCCCCTGCAAGAAGGCTTTCTCATGCCTTCTCCCGGTCAGCCTTTTCCCCCAAGGCATCCTCAACTCTGACCTTTATTACAACAGGTTAATGTCACATGGCCTTGAACTGCATGTGAATGGAATTATACAGTAGGTACACTTTTGTTTTGACTTCTTTTACTCAACACTGACTATGAGATTCATTAATGTTATTGTGTGATTTCATAGGTTTTTTTTTTCACTACTGGGTAGCATTCCACTGCATGAATATGTCACAATTTACTTACCTGTTCTAATGTTAGTGGACTTTGGGGTTAAATTTCCACCCTGCAGTGGTATGAATGAAGCTGGCATGGTACATGTCTTTTGGTGGACACAGGTATTCATTTCTGCTGGATATTTACTCTCAGGAGTGGAAGTACCGAGTCATAGGGTATGTGTTTAATTTTAGCATTGCCAAACATTTTCCCAAGATAATTGTATCAATTTACACTCCCACTAACAATGTGTGAGAGTTCCAGTTGTTCAATGTCCTTTCCAATACTTGGTACTGGCAGTCTTTCAAATGCTAGTCATTACAGTGTGTGTATGTAGTGGTATCTCATTGCGGTTTTACATTCCACTTCTGATAAGCAGTGATATTGGGTACCTTTTCAAATGTTCACCGGCTGTTTTGATATCCTCTTTTGCTAACTATTTATCAAATATTTTGCCCAATTTAAAATTGCATCATCTTTTTCTTATTGTAGCTCTTTCTGCATTCTGGATATGAGTCGTTTGTTAGCTATATGTGTTGCAATATCTTCTCCCATCTTTGACTTTCCTTTTATAGTTAAGAATATACCTCTTAAAGGTATATGCTGATACTAGGCTTTAATGAAGTCCAAATCATCACACTTTCTTTTAATAGCTAGTGCTTTTTGTGTCTTGCTTAAGTATCTAAGTATCTTTGCCTACCTCAAGGTCACCAAGATATTTTCTGAGGATTAAATGATGACCTTTTTTTTTTTTTTGAGACAGAGTCTTCCTCTGTCGCCCAGGCTGGAGTGCAGTGGCACAATCTCGCCTCACTGCAACCTCCACCTCCCAGATTCAACCGATTCTCCTGCCTCAGCATCCCGAGTAGCTGGGATTATAGGCACTCGCCACCACGCCTGGCTGATTTTTGTATTTATTTAGTAGAGACGGGGTTTCACCATGTTGGCCAGGCTGGTCTCGAACTCCTGACCTCAAGTGATCCACCCGCATTGGCCTCCCAAAGTGCTGGGATTACAGGCGTGAGCCACCACACCCAGCCAAATGATGACGTATTTAAAGGCTCCTGGGATAGTGATTGGTACATAATAAGCACTCAAAAAAAAAAAAAAAAAACAAAACCTGAAAGAACAAACAGGAAAACGAATACGTGTGTGGCCCTGATAATACATTCATTATGTGCTTTTGTTTCTTAGACATGTCTTGGTAATATTTATAGCACCATGAGGAAACACAGGGATGAGAAACGTTGACCCTGATGTGGCGGGAAATGGGAGAGAAGATGTCCTGAGGGTGGTTGTCGTGACTCCCCACAACAGAGGCTGAGACTCAGGAAAAACTCACAGAAGCTTTGACTTGAAGTCCCCTCCAAGCCAGTCAAAGTCTCTGAGGTCCTTTTGCTGGTTCTTTTCTTGACCTAGTCCATGTCCATCTCCATGGATCACATCCTGGGAAGCTTCCTATGCTCCATTTTAATTATTTCATGATCATTATTTTTTTCTCCTCCATGACCCCCTCCCACCCATAATATGTTTTGATACCCAATCTATGGCCACAGCCATCTTGTCCTGCCGTGGCCTCCTTGGTGGCTCCCTCTGTGATCCACTCCATGGTGTCCTCAGTGGCCTCCTCCATGTCCATAATGCCCGCCATGATTCACTCCGTAGCCATCTCCATGGATGTGGCTCAGTCCATGGCCCACTCCATATCCAAAGCCGTGTGTTCCTCCATGTCCCATTTCAAGTTCTCCTCCATGAACCAGTGCATTTCCCAGGCTGTGGAATGTCCCAGAGCCCAGGCCCAAGTCCAGGTCCAGACCAAGGCTGTGGCTGTGGCCATGGGGGTAATAAATACCACAATATCTCAGGGGGAAGAAAAGGTCTCTCTAAAAGAAAAAAATAAATACATTGATAAATGAAAATTAAGTCTCCTCTCCCTAATCACCATACATGCCTGTTTCACCAATGTCAGATTTTCACTTTTCCAAACTGCCCATGTTCTCTTCTCTTTACCACCATCCTTACTATGATCTGTGTCTCTGTCTCTCTTTTTCCTTGTTCTTTTACTCTTTCTCCGTCTGACAAAATAAGCTTCCTTGTTACCTTATTAACATATCATCTTTATGTGCGTACTCAGGCCCTAGCTCTGCAGATCATAAGGTTATGTGTTTTTGGACTTCCAAGACAAAGGTAAATCCATACCCCTATGTGAAAGGCACAGAGACTCACTTTACAGACAGTCTTTCTCTTTGTTAGTCAGCTAAGAAAGCTCAGAACAGGTACGTGGAATTGAGAGCTCTAGAAAGCTGTCTACACAGAGCTTTGAGATTATAGGCATGAACTCCAGAATCCAACTAACCTGAGTTAGAGTCTTATATCTGCCACTCACTACATGTGCTGGGGCAAATAGCTAAGATCATGAAGCTCCAGATCCCTTACTTGTAAGATGAATATAATATGGCCACGGGATTGTAGGCCAGATTAAATAACATTATGCATTTTAAACATTCAGCCTTGAGCCTAGCAGGCAGTAAAAACTCAATGTTCACTTTCATTATTCTCTCTTGATCTTGCAAATGAAATAATAAAGTAATTTAGGGAGTAATTCTTAGATGCTGGTATTTATTATGTAGTCCACATACGGAGAGAGGCTGAGAATTCTAAAATAAAGAACCTCAGCAAATTGACTATATTATCCAAACCTTTTGTGACTTCCGTATTTTTCATTTTGTCCATTTTTACCAGTGGTATGCTGTCCAACACTTAATAACAGGCTCTCCGAGGGAAAAGTGCTGATTTGTAGTGTTTGACAATTACTGTGGTGTAAGAATTTCCAACACAGCATATTTTAAGCTACCAGTGTCACACCACTCAGCTCAGAATTGGGAAGAACTGCACAATCTCTTGTGGGCCAGGATGAGCCAGCTCCAGCACACCACTGATTTATACTCTGCTTCACTCCTCAAATGGTAACTTACCCGCAGGATCACAAGAAAACAGGAAGAACATCAATAAATGTGAAATCGATGTAAGAAAAATATGTATTCAAAGAACAATCAAGACCAGAGAGCAGAGATGGAGTGGGAGGTCAGAGAGTAACAGTCACAGGCCACACAAGGAATTGCTGTGAGGACCAGAAATTTGTCATACATGAGACAATCGGAAGCCCGCATTTTGGATGGCTGAACATTTTTATGCTTCTTTCTTTTCTCTATTTCTCTCTCTCTTTCTTTCCTTCTTTCTTTTTTCTTTCTCTTTCTCTCTCAGTTTCTTTCTTTCTTTCTTCCTTTCTCTTTCTTGCTTTCTTCCTTTCTTCCTCATTCTTTCTCTTTTTCTCTCTCTCTCTCCTTCCTTCCTTCCTACCTTTCTTTTCTTTCTTCCTTCCTTTCGAGACAGGATCTTGCTCTGTCACTCAGGCTGGAGTGCAGTGGCACGATCTCTGCTCACTGCAACCTCCATCTCCCAGGTTCAAGCAATTCTCGTGCCTCAGCCTCCAAAGTAGCTGGGACTACAGGTCCATGCTACCACTCTCGACTAATTTTTGTATTTTTAGTAAAGACAAGTTTCACCATGTTGGCCAGGCTGGTCTCAAATGCCTGGACTCAAGTGATCCGCCCTCCTTGGCCTTCCAAAGTGCTGGAATTACAGGGGTGAGCCACTGCGCCCAGCTGCTTCTTGCTTTCTTTATGTTTATGTCCTCCTTGTTCTCTCTCAGTATTTCCCTTGTTCTGTCAGTATTTCCCTTCACTTTGGCCCCAACTCCATCTTTTCCCTCCTCTTTTTCTACTTTGCTTCTCACTTTCTCTGACTTAAGCATTCTCTCTGGTCCTTATATCAGGCTAGGTGATTCTTTCCTTCTGAGCGCACCAACTTACTCCCCTTTCTCATTCTGGATTTTTCCAAAGCACTGCTGACATGATTCCCCCCTGCCTTCTTGCCAGGCTCCCCTATGAACCCACCCTGGGTACTCACCAGACAAAAACTCAGTCCTACTGACAATCCAACAGCAGCCACAACTGCAGCCAGGGAAATGAGGATGATAGCCCAGGGCTGTAAATATCCACTTGGTTTGATCACGTTTGTGGGTGTGTGGCTCATGCTAACTGTGTTTGTGCCCATGGACACCGGGCCTGTTTCCTGGAAGGTGCTGCTGGTTGGCTCACGGGTGGATCCTGTGGTGGTCCTGACGCCGTGGGCTGAGGTGGTAGATGATGCTCCCATAGTGGATGTACCCAGGCCAGAGGTGTTTAAGACTATTCCTGGCACAGTATGGCTGGCAGCAGAGGCCGTGAAGTCCATTCCAGGGGCCATGGTGACAGAGCTGGAGGCAGTGGGTCTGGTTCCAGTGGTTCTGGTGCCTATGAAACAGGTCACACAAGATGATGCATTTGTAGCAGAGATGATTAAAGGGGAATGGGGGTGCTTAGAGCAGAGGAGGGTGAATCTAACAAACCTATGGTGGAGGTGGCTCAGGAGAGGTGTGGTGGGGGAGGAGAGATGGTAGAAAGCGATTCTGCTGTGGCCATGTCCCCAGAATGCAGGTGGGTGTCATACAGAGAAGGAGGTAGAATGTGTCACCTGGTGGAGTTGGTGATGGAGGAGGCAGAAGTTTGAGGAAACGTTATCGCGATGGGTTCAGAAGTGGAAGATCTATTTGACTTCAGAAGTGGCCACCCAAATAGAAGAGGGTGGGCTGATAAAAAGGAATGAATTAACAGCATTGCAGTGACCTGGATGAGATTTTAGACTATTCTTCTAAGTGAAGTAACTCAGGAATGGAAAACCGAACATCGTATGTTCTCACTGATATGTGGGAGCTAAGCTATGGAAATACGAAGACATAAGAATGATGCAATGGACTTTGGGGACTTTGGGGGAAGAGTGGGAGGGGGCGAGGGATAAAAGACTTCAAATATGGTGCAGTGTATACTACTAGGGTGATGGGTGCACCAAAATCTCACAAATCACCACTAAAGAACTTATTCATATAACCAAATACCACCTGCATCCCAATAACTTATGGAAAAAATTGAAAATAAATAAATCAAAGCAGATCAAATAAGTGGGTGGGCTGGTATACAAAGCGGCAGGCCCTGCTTCTTTTGTGACTGTGATCACTGGGTGTAAGGAGGGAGCTGGAGGAGGAGATGGCAGAATTGGATTCACTCATGGGCATGCCAGTGGCCGTGGCTGGGACAGAGGTGACATCATCTACCACACTGTGGTGATCAGCAAAGGTGAGGTGAGTGTGCTTGGGCAGATGTGGGAGGACCTGACCCAAGTGGAGAAGGCTGCTCACAGGGATAGGAGAGGGTGGGCTCAGACAGGTGTGAGCACGAATCAACACAGCAGAGGCGGTGGTGGCGGCTTAGGTAGCGATGGGTGTGCCTAGGTCAGAAGTGGTTAAAATGGGATCACAAACAGCACCAGTCATGAGAATAGAAGTGAGTGTGCTTAGAACCAAGAGGATAGAATCAGATGTAACCGGCTTGCTGATGGCAAGTGCCAGAGAATGAACAAAATTGTTTGGTCTCAGACTGGAGCAAAGGTTGCCAAATTTTTTCTGTAAAGGTCCAAACAGCAAATACTTTAGGCTTTTGGGCCAGGCTGTCTCTGTTGCAAATACACGGAAAAGCAGAAAAGCAGCTGGAGACAAACCATAAATGAATGGGCATGACTATGTTCCAGTAAAACTTTACAAAACCAGGTAACAGGTGAGACTTGACCCATGAAATGTGGTCTGCCAGCCTCTGGTCTAGAGTCAATACATTGATAGGAGGTGGCAGTGTCACAGATGGTTGGTTGAATAGAGATAATCTACTTGGCACCGAAGTGGGAGCATTTCACAAAACTGTGATGGGCCAGTAGAGTTGAGGCGGGCTTGCTGGAGGAAGATGTGACAGATATGATGCACTTGTGGTTTACTATATTGTGGTTCTGATTGCAATGGAAGTGGTGGGCACTTAAAAAAAAAAAAGAGGTGAGACCAGAGTAGAGGCAATTAGGATTCCAGAAGAGGAAATTTTTTTTTTTTTTTTTTTGAGACGGAGTCTCGCTCTGTCGCCCAGGCTGGAATGCAATGGCGCGATCTCTGCTCACTGCAAGCTCCACCTCCCGGATTCACATCATTCTCCTGCCTCAGCCTTCCGAGTAGCTGGGACTACAGGTGCCCGCCACCACGCCCAGCTAATTTTTTGTATTTTTAGTAGAGACTGGATTTCACCGTGTTAGCCAGGATGGTCTCAATCTCCTGATCTCGTGATTCGCTCGCCTCAGCCTTCCAATGTGCTGGGATTACAGGCATGAGCCACCGCGCCCAGCCTAGAAGAGGAAATTATATCTAACTGTGTGCTGGCTTGACTTGAACCAGGGCAGAGATGATAGAAACAGGTGAACAGCTGGTGGTTGCCACTGGAGTTAAAATGTGTGGGCTCAAAGAAGACATGGGGGTTAGTACCTGACATAGGTGTGTTGGTGATGGGCTGGATAGAAACGTCAGTGGCCTTGGTGAGTACAAACGTGGTGGAAGAGACAGTGGTGGAGGCTGCAGTGGCCCCAGAAGCTGTGATAGAGACTGTGGTGGTCTCAGAGCCTGTGAGGGAAGTTGCAGTGGGCTCCAAGCTTGCAGTGGAAGCTATGGTGGTCTCAGAGCCTATGATGAAGGCAGTGTTGGTCTCAGAGCCTGCACTGGAGGGTGTGGAGGTCTCAGAACCTGTGGTACAGGCTGTGTTGGTCTCAGAGCCTGAAGTGGAGGCTGTGGTGGTCTCAGAGCCTGCAGTGGAGGCTGTGGTGGTCTCAGAGCCTGCAGTGGAGGCTGTGGTGGTCTCAGAGCCTTCAGTAGAGGTGGTGGTGGCCTCAGAGCCTGCAGCAGAGGATGTGGTGGCCTCAGAGCCTATGGTAGAGACTGTGGTGGTCTCAGAGACTGTGGTAAAGACTGTAGTCATCTCAGAGCCTGTGGTAGAGGCTGTGGTGGTCTCAGAGCTAGTGGTAGAAACTGTAGTGGCCTCAGAGCCTTCAGTAGAGGCGGTGGTAGTCTTAGAGCCTGTGATATAGACTGTTGTGGTCTCAGAGCCTGCGGTAGAGGCTGTGGTGGTCCCAGAGCCTGAGGTGGAGACTGTGGTGGTCTCCAAATCTGCGGTAGAGGCTGTGGTGGTCTCAGAGCCCGTGGTAGAGACTGTGGTTGTCTCAGAGCCTTCAGTAGAGGTGGTGGTAGTCTCAGAGCCTGTGGTATAGACTGCTGTGGTCTCAGAACCTGCAGTAGTGACTGTAGTGGTCTCTGAACCTTCAGTAGAGGTGATGGTAGTCTCAGTGCCTGTGGTAGAGACTGTGGTGGTCTCAGAGCCTGTGGAGGAGACTGTAGTGGTCTCAGAGCCTTCAATAGAGGCTGTGGTGGTCTCAGAGCCTGCAGTAGAGACTGTGGTGGTCTCTGAGCCTGCAGTAGAGGCCGTGGTGGTCTCAGAGCCCATAGTAGTGACTGTAGTGGTCTCAGAGCCTTCAGCAGAGACTGTGATGGTCTCAGAGCCTGTGGTAGAAACTGTAGTGAGCTCAGAGCCTTCAGTAGAGGCTGTGGTGGTCTCAGAGCCTTCAGTAGAGGCTGTGGTGGTCTCAGAGCCTGTGGTAGAAACTGTAGTGATCTCAGAGCCTTCAGTAGAGGCTGTGGTGGTCTCAGAGCCTTCAGTAGAGGTGGTGGTAGTCTCAGAGCCTTCAGTAGAGGCTGTGGTGGTCTCAGAGCCTATGGTAGTGGCTGTAGTGGTCTCAGAGCTTTCAGTAGAGGCTGTGGTGGTCTCAGAGCCTTCAGTAGAGGCTGTAGTGGTCTCAGAGCCTTCAGTAGAGGTGGTGGTGGTGGTCTCAGAGCCTGCTGTAGAGGCTGGGATGGTCTCAGAGCCTGCAGTGGAGACTGTGGTGGTCTCAGAGGCTGTGGTAGAGGCTATGGTGGTCTCAGAGTTTTCAGTGAAGACTGTGGTCATTTTAGAGCTTGCAGTGGAGACCTTGGTGGTCTCAGAGCCTATGGTAGAGGCCATAGTGGTCTCAGAGCCCATGATGGATGCCATGGTGGTCTCAGAGCTTGTAGTAGAGGCTGTGGTGGTCTCAGAGCCTGTAGTAGAGGCTGAGGTGGTCTCGGAGCCTTCAGTAGAGGCTGTGGTGGTCTCGGAGCCTTCAGTAGAGGCTGTGGTGGTCTCAGAGCCTGTGATGGAGGCTGTAGTAATCTCAGAGCCTTCAGTAGAAGTGGTGGTGGTCTCTGAACCTGTGGTAGAAACTTTAGTGGTCTCAGAGCCTGTGATGGAGACTGTAGTGGTCCCAGAGCCTTCAGTAGAGACTGTGGTCTCAGAGCCTGTGGCAGATACTGTAGTGGTCTCAGAGCCTTCAGTAGAGGTGATGGTCCTCTCAGAGCCTGTGGTAGAGACCATGGTGGTCTCAGAGTCTGTGGTGGAGACTGTAGTGGTCTCAGAGCCTTCAGTAGAGGCTGTGGTGGTCTCAGAGCTTGTAGTAGAGGCTGTGGTGGTCTCAGAGCCTGTAGTAGAGGCTGAGGTGGTCTCAGAATCTGCAGTAGATGCTGTGGTGTTCTCAGAATCTGCAGTAGAGACTGTGGTGGTCTCAGAGCCTGCAGTGGAGGCTGCAGTGGTCCCAGAGCCTTCAGTAGAGTCTGTGGTGGTCTCAGCACCTGTGGTGGAGACTGTAGTCATCTCAGAGCCTTCAGTGGAAGTGGTGGTGGTCTCCAAGCCTGTGGTGGAAACTGTAGTGGTCTCAGAGCCTGTGGTGGAGACTGTAGTGTTCTCAGAGCCTTCAGTAGAGACTGTGGTCATCTCAGAGCCTGTGGCAGAGACTGCAGTGGTCTCAGAGCCTTCAGTAGAGGCTGTGGTGGTGTCAGAGCCTATGGTAAAGACTGTGGTGGTCTCCAAGCCTGTATTAGAGGCTGTGGTGGTCTCAGAGCCTGTAGTATAGGCTGTTTTGGTCTCAGAGCCTGCGGTAGTGACTGTAGTGGTCTCAGAACCTTCAGTAGAAGCTGTGGTGGTCTCAGAGTCTGAAGTAGAGGCTATTGTGATCTCAGAGCCTTCAGTAGAGGCTGTAGTGGTCTCAAAGACTGTGGTGGAGACTGCAGTCATCTCAGAGCCTTCAGTACAGGTGGTGGTGGTCTCTGAGTCTGTGATAGAAACTGTAGTGGTCTCAGAGCCTGTGGTGGAGACTGTAGTGGCCTCAGAGCCTTCAGTGGAAGCTGTGGTGGTCTCAGAGCCTTCAGTAGAGGCTGTGGTGGTCTCAGAGCCTGTGGTAGAATCTGTGCTGGTCTCAGAGCCCATGATGGAGGCTGTGGTGGTCTCAGAGCCTGTGGTAGAGACTGTGGTGGTCTCAGAGCCTACGGTAGAGGCTCTGATTGTCTCAGAGCCTGCAGCAAAGACTGTGGTCACCTCAGAGCTTGCAGTGGAGACCTTGGTGGTCTCAGGGCCTATGGTAGAGGCCATAGTGGTCTCAGAGCCCATGGTGGATGCCATGGTAGGCTCAGAGCCTGTAGTAGAGGCTGCGGTTGTCTCAAACCCTGTAGTAGAGGCTGTGGTAGTCTTAGAATCTTCAGTAAATGCTGTGTTGGTTTCAGAATCTTCAGTAGAGGCTGCAGTGGTCTCAGAGCCTGCAGTGGAGACTGTGGTCTCAGAGCCTGCAGTTGAGACTTTGGTGGTCTCAGAGCCCATGGTGGAGGCTGCAGTCGTCTCAGAATGTGCAGTAGAGGCTGTTGTGGTCTCAGAGCCTGTGGTGGAGACTGTAGTGGTCTCAGAGCCTGCAGTAGAGACTGTGGTGGTCTCTGAGCCTGCAGTAGAGGGTGTGATGGTTTCCGAGCCTGCAGTGAAGACTGTGGTCATCTCAGAGCCTGTGGTAGAGGCTGCAGTGGTCTCAGAATCTGCAGTATAGGCTGTGGTGGTCTCAGAGCCCACGGTGGAGACTGTGGTGGTCTCAGAGCCTGCAGTAGAGGTGACGGTGGTCTCAGAGCTTGTAGTAGAGTTTGTGGTGGTCTCTGAGCCCATGGCAGAGACCATGGTGGTCTCAGTGCCTGTGATAGAGACTGTAGTGGTCTCAGAGCCTGCAGTGGAGACGGTGGTCTCAGAGCCTGCCATAGAAGCTGTGGTGGTCCCAGAGCCTGCACTAGAGACTGTGGTGTTCTCGGATCCTGCCGTAGAGGTGGTGGTGATCTCAGAACCTGAAATAGAGACTATGGTGGTCTGAGAGCCTGTGGGGGAGGGGGTGGTGGTCTCAGAACCTGCTGTAGAGGCTGTGGTGGTCTCAGAGGCTTTAATCAGGATTGTAGTGGTCTCAGAGCCTGTGGTAGAGGCTGTGGTGGTGTTAGAGCCTGCAGCGGGGGCCACAGTGGTCTCAGAGCTCATGCTGGACGCCGTGATCACCTTGGAGTCTGCAGTTGAGGTTGTGGTGGCCTCAGAGCCTGCCATGGAGGTGGAGGTAGTGGTGGTCTCAGAACCTGCAGTAGATGCTGTGGTGGTTTCAGAGCCTGTGGTAGAGACTTTAGTGGCCTCAGAGCTTGCAGTGGAGGTGGTGGTGGTCTCAGAGCCTGTGGTAGAGACTGTGGCAGTCTCAGAGCCTGTGGTGGAGGCCATGGTGGTCTCAGAAATTATGGAGGAGGCCATCGTTTTCTCAGAGCCTGCAGTGGAGGTTGTGCTGGAGGCCATGGTAGTCTCAGGGACTGTAGTGGAGGCTATAGTAAAGGTTGTTGTGGTCCCAGAGACTGTGGTGGAGGCCACGATAGTTTCAGAGCCTGCAGTGGAGCCTGTGGTTGTGTCAGAGCCTGTGGTGAAGGTCCCAGTGGAGGCTATAGTAGTCCCTGAGTCTGTGGTAGAGGCCGTGTTGGTCTCAGAGCCTGTGGTGAAGGCTGCAGTAGAAGCCATGGTGGAGGCTGAGGTTGTCTCAGAGCCTGTGGTAGAGTCTGTGGTGATCTTAGAGCCTGTAGTTAAGGCCGTAGTAGAGGCCATGGTGGAGGCCATGGTGGTCTCAGAGCCTGTGATGGAGGCTGTGGTGGTGTCGGAGCCTTTTGTGAAGGCTGTGGTATTCTCAGAGCCTGAGGTGGAGAACAAATAAGGTGGTGGGAATGGGTTAAAGATGAATTTGCTGGTTTAGTATAGTGTTACTTTCACATATACTCAGTACTGCTTATTCATTTATTTATTCAGTTATTGAGGGCTTAACATGTACCTGGTATTTTACTAAATTCTGGGCATACTCCTGTCAGCAAAAGGGATATGGGCTTATAATTTAGTAAAGAAGAGAGCTACAATATAAAATATAAATACACATTGGCTTAAGTGCTGTTAAAGAAAGCAGTGGTGCTGCTTTAGATACTGGAGTCAGAAAAGGTCTCTCTGAGGAACTGACATATGAACTGAGATCTGAAGGATAAGAAGGCAGCCATTTGGGCTGGGCGCAGTGGCTCAAGCCTGTAATCCCAGCACTTTGGGAGGCCAAGGCAGGCAGATCACCTGAGGCCGGGAGTTCAAGACCAGCCTGACCAATATGGAGAAACCCCATCTCTACTAAAAATACAAAATATAGCCAGGCATGGTGGCGCATGCCTATAATCCCAGCTATTCAGGAGGCTGAGGCAGGAGAATCACTTGAACCGGAAGGCGGAGGTTGCGGTGAGCCAAGATTGCACCACTGCACTCCAGCCTGGCCAACAAGGGCAAAACTCCATCTTAAAAAAAAAAAAAAAAAGAAGGCAGCAATTTGAAAGGCCAGGAGAAGGACATCACAGATTGATAGCATAAGTACAAATACCCTGAGTTGTTAATGAGCTCGATGTGATTCATGAATATATAGGAGACCAGGGTGGCTGGAATGTAGTTACTGAAGGAGAAAACGAGGCGGTAGAGAGACCTTTTCTAACCATAATCTCTGAAGCAGGACCCCTGCCTTTTTAACAACACATAACCCAAAGGTGTATTTACATTCTTTATATTCTAAACTCTTCTTTACAAGAACATAAGCCCACATTTCTTTTGCTGACAGGGGTATACTCAGAGTTTAGCAAAATACCATGGTAGAAAGGTTAAATTTCATCTCAAATACAATGAAGACCCACTGGAATAACATACTCTGGTTAATTTCTCTTTGTTTTTATTTTGAAAAAAAAATCACAAATTCTTTTGTAACAAGTATAACACAAAGAACCCTTTTCCCTGAATCATTTGGGAGTTACTTGGTAACCTGATGTCTCATTATCCTTCAATACTTTATATATTCTCATACGCAACCATAATACAGCCATCAAGATCAAGAAATTCACATGAATATATTGCTGCCACCTGATCCTTAGATCCCTTTCAAGTTTTGTTAGTTGTTCTAATAATGTCTTTAATAGTAAACCAGTTCAATTCAGAATCGTGTGTTGTTTTTCGTTGTTCTGTCTCTTTAGTCTTCTTCAGTCTGGTGCAGTTCTTCAGTCTTCCTTTGATCTCATAACTTTTAACCTTTGAAGATTACAGGTCAATTATTTTATAGAATTTTCCTTAAACTGAGTTTTTGTAATGTTTCATCATGATTAGGCTCATGTTATTAATCTTTGCCAGGAAAACCACTGAAGTGATGCTGTATTCTTCTCTTTGCATACTATCAGGTGACAGATAATATCAATGTGTCCCATCATTGATGATGTTCTCTTGGATTACTTGATTAAGAAGGTGTATCCAGGCTGGTTTTTCTCCCTTTGTAGTTAGTAAATATTGTGTTGTGATTATAATTATGAAATGTCTCTCTTTATCCCTAATAATATACCTCTTCTTAAGCCTATTTTGTCTGATTTTGAAATAGTCACTCAATTTTTTTTTAAATTGATGTTAGCATGGCTAACATACAGTATGGCCGTATCTTTCTTCCTCTTATTTTTATCCTATTGTTTACCCTATTTGTAGTTATAGTTAGTTAAAATGTATTTCTTGGTTGAATATTATTTATTTGGGGCTTTCTTTTTTAACCAATGTGTCAATCTCTGCCTTTTAATTGTGGTGTCTGGACCATATACATTTAATGTAATTATAAATACGTTGGGTCTGATTCTTTTTTAGAGACAGAGTCTTGCTCTGTCTCTCAGGCTATAATGCAGTGGCACAATCACGGCTGACTGCAGCCTTGACTTTCTAAGCTCAAGAAATCCTCCTGCCTCAGCCTCCGAACTATCTAGGATCACAGGCACGAGTCATGATGCCTGGCTAATTACTTTTTAATTTTTATTTCTTGTAAAGATGGGGTCTCCCTATGTTGCCTGGGCTTGTCTCGAACTCCTGGGCTCAAGTAATCTTCCTGCCTCAGCCCCAAAAAGTGCTGGAATTACAAGTGTGAACCACTGTAGCTGGCCCTGAATTTAATAGTCTTCATATTTGTTTTCTATTTTTCTCATCTGATCTTCTTACCTTTTCCTCCATTTTTCGCCTACTTTTTTTTTTTTTAATTAACCCAGTATTTTGTTTTTTGTTTTGTTTTGTTTTTTGAGCGTCTTGATCTGTCACTCAGGCTGGAGTGCAGTGATGGGATCTCAGCTCACTGCCAATTCCACTTCCCAGGTTCAAGTGATTCTCCTGCCTCGGCCTCCTGAGTAGCTGGAACCACAGGCATGCGCCACCACGCCCAGCTAATTTTTGTATTTTTAGTAGAGACAGGGTTTCACCACGTTGCCCAGGCTGGTCTCTAACTCCTGGCCTCAAGTGATCCACCTGCCTCAGCCTCCCAAAGGGCTGGGATTACAGGCATAAACCGCTGCACCATGACCTGAGTCATTTTTGACCCCATTTTATTTCCACCATTAGCTTATTAAATATCACTTATTTGTGTGCCTTTGCTCTAGGATTTACGATATACACCTTTATCACTGTCTACCTCCCAGTGAGCTCATTCCTCTTCATGTAAAGGCATGAGAGTCTCAACACAGTACACTTCCATTTCCTTTTTCTATCCCTTGTACCACTGTTGTCATACATTTTATGTCTACATATAAGCCTCATAATTCATTATTACTCAAGTATATTATCTTTTAAAATTTAAATGAAAAAAATTTTATTTTTACCCATATATTTATCATTTCCAGCACACTTCATTCTTTTTTGCATAGATCTAAATTTTTTCTTCCTGAAGAACTTTTACATTTAAAAAAAAATGTCAGTCTTGCCCGTCGATTCACACCTGTAATCCCAGCATTTTGGGAAGCAGAGGCAGGCAGATCACCAGGAGTTCGATACCAGCCTAACCAAAATTGATAACCCCCATCTGTACTAAAAATACAAAATTAGCCAGGCATGGTGTGGCTAATTACATGCCTGTAATCCCAGCTACTCGAGAGGCTGAGGCAGGAGAATCGCTTGAACCCAGTGTGTCTGGAATTGGTGGGTTCTTGGTCTCACTGACTTCAAGAATGAAGCCACAGACCCTCACAGTGAGTGTTACAGCTCTTAAGGTGGCATGTCTGGAGTTTGCTCCTTCTGATGTTTGGATGTGTTCGGAGTTTCTTCCTTCTGGTGGGTTTGTGCTCTCGCTGGCTCATGAGTGAAGCTGCAGACCTTCACAGTGAGTGTTAACAACTCTTAAGGCCGTGCGTGTGGAATTGTTCCTTCCTCTCAGTGGGCTTGTGGGCTCGCTGGCTTCAGGAGTGAAGCTGCAGACCTTTACAGTGAGTGTTACAGATCATAAAAACAGTGTAGACCCAAAAAGTGAGCAGTAGCAAAATCTATTGCAAAGAGCAAAAGAACAAAGTTTCCACAGTGTGGAAAAGGACCCAAGCAGGTTGCCACTGCTGGCTCGGGCAGCCTGCTTTTATTCTCTTATCTGGCCCCACCCACATCCTGCTGATTGGTAGAGCCGAGTGGTCTGTTTTGACAGGGTGCTGATTGGTGCGTTTACAATCCCTGAGCTACATACAAAGGTTCTCCACGTCCCCATCAGATTAGTTAGATACAGAATATGGACACAGAGGTCCTCCAAGGCCCCTCCAGAGCAGCTAGATACAGAGTGTCAACTGGTGCACTCACAAACCTTGAGCTAAACACAGGGTGCTGATTGGTGTGTTTACAAACCTTGAGCTAGATACAGAGTGCCGATTGGTGTATTTACAATCCCTGAGCTAGACATAAAGGTTCTCCAAGGCCCCACGAGAGCAGCTAGATACAGAGTGTTGATTGGTGCACTCACAAACCCTGAGCTAGACACAGGGTGCTGATTGGTGTGTTTACAAACCTTGAGCTAAATACAGAGTGCCGATTGGTGTATTTACAATCCCTGAGCTAGACATAAAGGTTC
Source organism: Homo sapiens (assembly GCF_000001405.40). NCBI lineage: Eukaryota > Metazoa > Chordata > Mammalia > Primates > Hominidae > Homo > Homo sapiens. The sequence goes on along the minus strand of NT_167246.2, from coordinate 2,331,793 downwards.
TCCAAGGCCCCACCAGAGCAGCTAGATACAGAGTGTCCATTGGTGTACTCACAAATCCTGAGCTAGACACAGGGTGCTGATTGGTGTATTTACAATCCCTAAGCTAGACATAAAGACTCTCCACGTCCCCACCAGACTCAGGAGCCCAGCTGGCTTCACCCAGTGGATCCCGCCCCGGGGCCGCAGGTGGAGCTGTCTGCCAGTCCTACACCATGCGCTCACAGTCCTCAGCCCGTGGGCGGTCGGTGGGACTGGGCGCCCTGGAGCAGGGGGCGGCGCTCATCGGGGAGTGCCCATGGAGGGGGTGGGAGGCTCAGGCATGGCGGGCTGCAGGTCCCCAGCCCTGCCCCATGGGAAGGCAGCTAAGGCCCAGTGAGAAATCCAGTGCAGCGCCAGTGGGCCGGCACTGCTGGGGGACCTAGTACACCCTCCGCAGCCACTGGCCCAGGTGCTAAGCCCCTCACTGCCCGGGGCCTGCAGGGCCCGCTGGCTGCTCCGAGTGCGGGGGCCGCCAAGCCCACGCCTACCCGGAACTGCAGCTGGCCCGCAAGCGCCGCGCACAGTACCGGTTCCCGCTGGCGCCTCTCCCTCCACACCTCCCTGCAAGCTGAGGGAGCCGGCTCTGGCCTCGGCCAGCCCAGAAAGGGACTCCCACAGTGCAGCGGTGGGCTGAAGGGCTCCTCAAGTGCCGCCAAAGTGGGAGGCCAGGCAGAGGAGGTGCCGAGAGCAAGCGAGGGCTCTGAGGACTGCCAGCACGCTGTCACCTCTCACCGGGAGGCAGAGGTTGCAGTGAGCCAAGATCGTGCCATTACACTCCAGCCTGGGGCAACAAGAGCGAAACTCCGTATCAAAAAAAAAAAAAAAAAAAAAAGTCAATTTCCAGGAGGCAAGGTCTTCCAGTTTTTGCTTGTCTAGAAAAGCCTTCATTTCATCTTCATATTGAAAATATTCTTACTCCGTGTAATTCTAGGTTGATAAAGTATTTTTTTCTTTCAGTATTTTAATGATGTTGCTTCTTTATCTTCTGGTTGTCATGGTTTTTCACAGGAAGTCTGTTAGATGCTTGTCTTTGCTCCTCTCTATACAATGTGTCTTTTCTAGCTCGTTCTAGGATTTCCCTTTTATCACTGATTTTTAGTTATTTGATTACGTTGTACTTTGGTATGATTTTTTAAAGTTTATTTTGCTTGATATTTGTTGAGTTCTTGGGATCTGTGAGTTTATAGTTTTCATCAAATTTAATTTTTTCAGCTACTATTTCTTTAAACATGTTTTCGGTTCCCTTTTTTTCTGGAACTTCAATAACACATATTGTAGACAAAACATTGTCTCACAAAATCACTGGTATTCTATTCATTCATTTTCAGCCCATACTCCCTCCACCCCATACTCCCTCTCACCCTCACAAGATTCTGACAAAACATGCCAGGCTGCCACTCTGTGGAGAAGTCCACTTCATCCAATTTAGTTTCTTGCTCTGTCACCCAGGCTGGAGTGCAGTGGTGCTATCTCGGCTCATTGCAACTTCCACCTCCCGGGTTCAAGGGATTCTCCTGCCTCAGCCTCCTGAGTAGCTGGAAATACAGACATGTGCTACCACACCCAGCTAATTTTTGTATTTCTAGTAGAAACAGAGTTTTGCCATGTTGGCCAGGCTGCCCTCGAACTCCTGACCTCAGGTGATCTGCCCACCTCAGCCTCCCAAAGTGCTAGGATTACAGGTGTGAGCCACCGCACCCGGCCCAGTTCAGTTTCTTATATCCTCCTCTGGGCCACTGCTGTCTCCCCTCCTGTCCAACCCTGATATCTGCTTTGCTCTGCCTCACCTAATGATCTGGGGCTTAATCATTCAGGAAGGGAAGAGAAAGTAGAAAACAAAACTGATTTATGTTTTTAAAAGATGCTGTGTGAAAACTGGCATGTAGGAGGGCAAGAGTGAAAAAATTAAGAGCAGTAATTATTGCTTGAACTAGGATGGTAGCAGGGGAGATACATTTCAGTGGATGAATACAAGCTATGTTTTGAAATTAGAAAAGTAGAACCAATAGGAAGTGTTGAAAGGCTGCATGTGGTGGATGACACGAAAAGAAGTCAAGAACAACTTCTAGCTTTGGGGCTTACGCAGAGTGGAAATTAGTTCTATTTATCTGAATGAATAGGGATGAAGTGGAAGTTGGAAATATTAGACTTTGAACTTTTTGTGCCCATTAGATATCCAGGAGACTGTTGGCAGTTGGAAACCTGCACTTAGTTCTCAGAGGAGAAATCAGATCAAAAGACGTGAAACTGGAAGTCATTTAAATATACATTGTATTTAAAGCCATGAAGCTGACTGAGATCACTTGTCTGGGAGAGTATAGTTGGAGAATAGGGCGCTGGACCAAGCCCTGGCCACTGCATCACTCAGATAGAGGAGGAGACGCAAATGAATGAGACTGAGAAGGAGCATCCACTAAGGCAGAAAGAAAACTCTAAAAAGTGAATCAAGGAAGTCAAGAGAATAGAGAGGCTCTAGAAAAATATGGCAGTTAGCTGAATTGATTTTTGCAGAGAGATCAAGTAAGGTATGGCCTGGGCCATGTCCATTAGATTCAGAGACAGTATGGAAGTGAGTTTAGTTTATTGAAAACAGATTTGCATGATGGGGTAGACCCCAATTGGAATGAATAAAAGAATAAGTATATATGGAGGCTTATGGATTTCATAGAAGAATAAAAAGTAGAGAAATAACAAAACACATACCTCCACAAGGACAAACGATGGAGAGATAACAGCAGAGGAAATATTTAATTTTTGTTTTTTTGAAGGTAATAGGCAGATGAGTGGTAACTCCCCAACACAACAGAGAAAGCTTCAACATACAGGCCTCCATTGGGGGTGAGAGTAAGTCAACTACTGGTAGATTATTAATTCTGTGGAATCCTGGAAAGATTCGGGAATTGCAACTGGGTTCCTCTAAAGATTTGGGTGTGGCATGTGACTAAATACAGGAAGGATAGTTGAAATACAATGTAGCTGGGAACTGTCTCTCAGCTCCAGATCACTCCTTCCACTCAAGGACTTGGATGAATACACCTCTCTCCCTTTTAACAGCTTAGGGTTTTATCTCAAAGAAACTCTAGACCAGTAATCCCAGGCACTGCTGAAGGCAGGAGTGAAAGTGTATCCAGAATTGGTGGGTTCTTGGTCTGACTTCAACAATGAAGCCGTGGACTCTCGCCTTGAGTGTCACAGTTCTTACAAGTGGTGTGTCCTGAGTTTGTTCCTTCTGATGTTCAGATGTGTTCAGCGTTTCTTCTGGTGGGTTCGTGATCTCACTGGCCTCAGGAGTGAAACTGCAGATTTTCGCAGTGACTGTTACAACTCATAAACGCAGTGTGGACTCAAAGAGTGAGCAGCAGCAATATTTATCACAAAGAGTGAAAGAACAAAGTTTCCACACTATGGAAGGGTACCCAAGCGGATTGCCACTGCTGGCTCAGGGCAGCCTGCTTTTATTCCCTTATCTGGTGGCACCCACATCCTACTGATTGGTCCATTTTACAGAGCGCCGATTGGTCTGTTTTACAGAGAGCTGATTAGTCTGTTTTGACAAGGTGCTGACTGGTGTGTTTACAATCCCTGAGCTAGACACAAAAGTTCTCCAAGTCCCCACAGAGCACTGATTGGTGCATTTACAAACCTTGAGCTATACACAGGGTGCTGATTGGTATGTTTACAAACTTTGAGCGAGACACAGGGTGCTGATTGGTGTATTTACAATCCCTTAGCTAGACATAAAGATTCTCCAAGTCCCCACCAGATTAGCTAGACACAGGGTGCTGACTGGTGTGTTTACAAACCTTGAGCTAGACACAGAGTGCTGATTGGTGTATTTACAATCCCTTAGCTAGACATAAAGATTCTCCGAGTCCCCACCAGATTAGCTAGACACAGGGTGCTGATTGGTGCATCTGCAAACCTTGAGCTAGACACAGAGTGCTGATTGGTGTATTTACAATCCCTCAGCTAGACATAAAGGTTCTCCAAGTCCCCACTACACTCAGGAGCCCAGCTGGCCTCACCTAGTGGATCCTGCACCTGGGCCGCAGATGGAGCTGCCCGTCAGTCCCACGCCGTGCGCCAGCACTCCTCAGCCCTTGGGCAGTCTATGGGACCGGGTGCCGCAAAGCAAGGGGCAGCGCTCGTCTGGGAGGTTCTGGCTGCACAGGAGCCCATGGCGGCGTGGGGGAGGCTCAGGCATGGCGGGCTGCAGGTCCCGAGCCGTGCCCCTCAGGGAGGCAGCTGAGGTCCGGCTGGAATTGGAGCGCAGCACCCGCCGGCACTGCTGGGGAACCTGGCGCACCCTCCGCAGCTGCTGGCCCGGGTGCTAAGTTCCTCACTGCCTGGGGCCGGCTGTGCTGGCCACGCCAGCCCGAGGCTCAGAGTGTGGGGCCCCCCGAGGCCACGCCCACCTGGAACTAGTGCTGGCCCGCAAGTGGCGCAGGCAGCCCGGGTTCCCGCCCGTGCCTCTCCCTCCACATCTCCCTGAAAGCTGAGGGAGCTGGCTCCGGCCTCGGCCAGCCCAGAGAGGGTCTCCCACAGTGCAGCGGGGGGCTGAAGGGCCCCTCAAGCGCAGCCAGAATGGGTGGCGAGGCCGAGGAGGCTCCGAGACTGAGCGAGAGCTGCCAGCACCCTGTCACCTCTCAAAAGGTTTTACTGAAACTATGCAATTAAGGAAATGCTTACACCCTGAAATGTAAAACCCACATTACCTATTCCCTTGCTCAGCTTCCAGCACTTCAGCAGCTATGCTAGTATGCTCTAGACAGGATCTGGAGAATTCTTGTGGAAAGAAATTAGCCAACACTAGATACTGACATTTTGAGGATCTTCCCAATCTAAACTGCCACGTCTCTGCTAAATTACCCTAAAGCTAAGTCCACCAGTTGACAGGCCCTACCCCTGCTCACAAAGCTTCCAGGCATCATATTAGTGCCTCACTCAAATGCAAAGGACATTCTGGGATTACCAGATATTTGAGAAAAATCTCTAGCTTGAAATATAGAGACCAAAACAAATATCCCTATGAAGCAAAGCCAGAGAGAACTGAGACAATGCAAACAGCAAAACCAACTTCAAATGTCCTCAGCAATATAAGAGAAAGTATAGCACCCACGAAAAAAAAAAAAAGTAAGAGATGCCATCTTAAAAATGGTTGTAGAGAAAAAAAAGATCTCTTTGAAAAAAAAAAACCTCAAAATTCACTAGAAGGATTTGAAGACTTTAGAAGCTGAGGAAATCTCCCCAGAAGAAAAATAAAACGACAGAGTTGGAAGACAGAAGAAGAAATATAAGAAAATTAGAGTGTCAGCCCAGGAGGTCAAACATCCAAATTATAAGATTTTTTCAGAAAGACAGAACAGAGAAAATGGACGAGAGGCAATTATCAAAGAAAAAAATGCAATAAAATTTCCCAGAACTGACTGATACAACTTTCTACTGTGCAAATTCCTAACACAATGAAAGAATCCATACTATGACACCATATCATGAGATTTTAGAACAGTAGTTTTAAAAATCTGAAATCCTCCAGAAGAAAAAGAATGGGTCTTTTACAAGAGGTCAGTAATCTAAATATCAGACTTCACAATCTAGAATCTAGGAATAGTGGATCAACGCCTTCAAAATCCTGAGAAAAATCATATCCATCCTAGAATTCTATAACCAGCTAAACTATGAGTCAAATGTGAGGGTGGAATAAGACATTTTCAGACGTATAAGGTCTATGGACAGCTGGGCCCATCTTTCTCTTCTTCCTGGGCACATGGCTAAGTTACATTTGTCAACCTCTCTTGTAGCTAGGTAGGGCTACATGTCTAAGCCCTAGTCAGAGGCCCCTGAAGGGAAGGAATACATATTAATTTCCACTTCATTTCTTTAAGAGTAAATACCTATTCCTTGATTTCTGCTTGTATATATATTTTTAATTTCTGTATATTATCATGTTTTGACATCTTAACAAACTTTTCTAGCTAGGGAGAGACAGGACCTTCCAGGGCTAGCCAATTCTTAAAAGTAGCAAAGGGACCAGCCAGGAGCATGAGCTGATATGCAGACTAACCATTCCAGAGCCATAGCTCCTCTATCTGGCCCATATACTCCAGGAAACAATATTTATCTGCCTTAGTCATTCCAAAGTCAAGTACTAGGCAACTAGGTGGTAATCAGCCATATAGCTCAAAGAACACAGGAATTATTCAAACCAGCCAATCCTAAACTGTTCACCCTGCCTTTCCTTGCCTTTCCCACAGAAACCCAATAAAAGGAAAGACATAAATCTTTCCTTCACTCCTGTCTTCTGCCTCCTGACTACCTTGGTGTCTTTCTCAGGTGGTCCCACATGGCAGTGCCATGCCTCCTGTCTCTAGGGCCTGTAAGCCTCTCCTCTTGTGGCTGCACTTTGACTGACTGTATCATAAAATAATACAAAATACTGTTTTTCTTCCCTCTCCTTGGGCTGAAATGATGATGACACTGGAAACCATATGTTGAAGACGGAAGAACCATATTCACCCAGGATCCCTGAATGACTGCATGGAGCAGAGCTCCCACCATCCTATAATACTTACCTTAGGACTGGTACAAGGGAGAAAAATAAACTTGTTTTTCAAAGCCACTTTCGGGATCTCCTTGTTACAGCAGCTTAGCATTACCCTAACAGTGCATAAGGTTTTAAAATAATTTCCCACCATAAACTCTCTCTCTCAGGAAGCTTCTAGAGAAAGTGATGCTCCAAGATGGAAAAATAAAGCCAGAAAAAAGATAAGAATTTACAAGGGAAAAAAGGGAATTTCCAGAATGTTGCTGAATACAGATTGCAGGACAAGAGACCTAGCAAGCAACCAGTACTGGTTGGACAGAGGCTTCTAAATGGGATTGCTCTGGTTGGACAGAGGCTTCCAAATGGGATTGCTCAAGGGAAAAAAGTGAAACTGATAGATTGCCTCATGTGTATCGAAAAGACAGGGATACTTCTGGTGGAGGTTTTGGGATGAATTAATTACATATATGAAGAAAACTATGGACATTTTAAAAATGAGGCTATTATTAATATCTAGAAAAACAAAAATTACAAGAACGGATGGTCATCACAATGCAATTATATGACCCAGTTATAAATGTTACTAGAGGTCATTTATACTTATTATAATGTCATCACAATGCAATTATATGACCCAGTTATAAATGTTACTAGAGGTAAAATTTATAGTTATCATAATGTAAATACTAAATGCTAGTTTAACACCAAAAATTTGATACAGTCATTTGGGGAGAATTGTGAGCGGGAATGTGAGACAGTAAGTGTGTAGGGGGAGTGGTCTAAACTAAATCTTTCTTTTCATTAGAAGGAAGACAATAAATCATGCCCAAAGCAGGAAAAAAAAACCAAAAAACCTCAACCAACAAAGAAGTAATGGTAGTAAGAGAATTTATGGCCGGGTGCAATGGCTCACGCCTGTAATCCCAGTGCTTTGGAAAGCTGAGGTGAGAGGATCCCTTGAGCCCGGGAGTACCAGGCTGCAGTGAGCTATGATGGTGTCTCTGCATTCCTGCCTGGGTGACAGAGTGAGATCTTGTCTCTAAATAAATAGATAAATGCAGTATGAACGTAAATGCCAACAGGAACCCTGGGAAGCAGGACTCAGAATAAGAAGCAATTGGGGCAAGGGAATCAGGGGCTGAAGTTTTATGAGAAGCCTTGTAGGACTACAAGTATTTCTTTTTCAGAACTACTTACATCCATTACCTAATACAATAAAATAAAATAAACAAGTGAGTGGGAGGTGAGAAGTGACATAGCAAGTGTGGGGAAGTCCTTCAAGAATGGGGGTGAGGGGCCGGGCCCGGTGGCTCACACCCGTAATCCCAGCACTTTGGGAGGCCAAGGTGGGTAGATTGTCTGAGCTCAGGACTTCGAGTCCAGCCTGGGCAACACAATGAAACCCTGTCTCTACTAAAATACAAAAAATTAGCTGGGCGTGGCGGTGTGCGCCTGTAGTCCCAGCTACTCAGGAGGCTGAGGCAGGAGAATCGCTTGAACCTGGGAGGCAGAGGTTGCAGTGAGCCGAGATTGCAGCACTGCACTCTAGCCTGGGCGACAGAGCCACACTCCATCTCCAAAAAAAAAAAAAAGAATGGGGGTGAGGAGGAGAGTGGAGGGAGAGGTGGTGGCTGAGGAGTGATGCGGGGATGTTAGGATGGACATCATTCAGTGTTTGGTCCAGGGACCTCTGGGATCACACTGTCTGAAGAACCCACGCCATCCCACCAAGCTTACTGAATCAAGATCTTGCTTGGTGGGGTGTCAGGGCCTGGAAACCCAAGTTTTTAATCGTCTCCTTGGATGATACTTGTGCATACAGAACTGAGCTTGTTTGGATGCTGATGGAAAGGACCCAAGAAAGGTAAAGTGAGATGGGAGGGGAAGGAGAAATGCACTGAGCAAAGCCCCTGAGATGGCAGGAGGGTGAGAAGGCGCCCAGCATTCAGATGGAGGAGTTGGTCCTTGCTAATCCACTGTAATGGGGCTACAGGAGACACTGTTGGTTACTTTATAGATCTAGTGGTAGGAAAAGAGGAGGGGCCTTTCAGCCCTTGCACACTTGCTCCCTTTTGTTAGGAAATATTATTTAAGTCTATGTTTTACAGTAGACCAAGTGTTCCATGGGGGTCAAGACCATGGCATTTCCCACTCCATTCCTCACCCATGGCCTAGCACGCAGCAGTGCCTGGCCCAGAGGAGGAGCTCTATAAATGTTTGTTGAATGACTACATGAATGACAGTTTCTTCTGAGGTAAGGGGACTCTTGTTTAAAATCAGACAGATAGGACTGGAGTTCAGGATTAGGACAGGCGACGGGCAGATCTGGAAGGCATGGGTAGGTAGAGAACAGTTGAAGCATTCAGGGTGAAGGCAAGGGGAAAGAGAAGAAAAAGAACGCCGAGGGAAGTGCTGAAGCGGGCGAGGGAGCGAATCCAGAGTGGGGTGCAGGAAACAGATGCATACTGAGGAAGAAGGGGGAAGCACTCCAAATCCTCCACATCATCCAACCTATACCTTCTCTTTCAACCGCACCTCCCACTTCTTGACGAGCCATCCTACAGTAAAGGCAATGGAATGGATGAGCCAGTTAACCTGGTGTCTCATAATTAGGGAAGATATGTTGATGTAAGAAATCAAAGACTGGAGTGAACAGTACTATCTCAGACAGCCCACTGGAGTCACACGGAGCCCAATTCACTTCTCCCCTGGGCTGTTTCCTTTCACAGCCATTGCTGATCCAATGTCAGAGCCAACCCCTCAGTGGCCGAACTCCGGTTTGTTTCTACCAGGGAAGTTCTCAGGGGATTATACATGGATTTGGAATCAGGCAGCATCCGAAGAAGGGTTGAAGCAAAAAATCAAAAAACAGTAGATGTTGGCGTAGATGCAGTGATCAGGGAACACTTCTACACTGCTAGTGGGAATGTAAACTAGTACAGTCACTATGGAAAACAGTGTGGAGATTTCTTAAAGAACTAAAAGTAGATCTACCATTTGATCCAGTAATCCCACTACTGGGTATCTACCCAGAGGAAAAGAAGTCATTATACAAAAAAGACACTTGCACACACATGTTTATAGCAGCACAATTCACAATTGCAAAGTCATGGAACCCAAATGCCCATCAATCAACGGTGGATAAAGAAACTGGCATATATATACGATGGAATACTACTCAGCCATAAAAAGGAATGAATTAATGGCATTTGCAGTGACCTGGATGAGACTGTAGACTATTATTCTAAGTGAAGTTACTCAGGAATGGAAAACCAAACATCGTATGTTCTCACTGAGAGGTGGGAGCTAAGCTGTGAGGACTCAAACGCATGAGAATGATACAATGGACTTTGGGCACTAGGGAGGAAGGACGGGGGAGGCACGAGAGATAAAAGACTACAGATAGGGTGGGTGCAGTGTACACTGCTTGGTGACGGGTGCACCAAAGTCTCACAATTCACCAATAAAGCACTTACATAACCAAATATCACCTGTACCCAAATAACCTATGGAAAAAAAACAAAGAAGGATTGAAGGATTTTTACTTGACTTTAGACTGAGATCCTGGTTTTAATTTGGAATTAAGAATGCTATTGGAACTAGAGTTTTCCGGTTAAAAAAAAAACTTTTATCCAAGATACAAAGGAAAGTAAAATCTCACCCCCCTCCATTTCCCCAGCACCGCCCCACCGCCCCACCACATGTGCTCACAACCACAGCTGGGGGAGACTAATACAGATTTGCTTCTAAGACAGCATCAGAATCATGGTCAGTGGAATTGGGATCAGTACTGGCTTTTGCAGAAATGGGCAAAAAAAAAAAAAAAAATGAATCATCATTGTTTCTGGAAGAAGAGTCATGCCTGGGCAGGGGATTCCCCATCTCCTTCAGGGCTTATGTGGCCTCCATGCCCCTCTCCCTCCTTAACTGCTAAGTCACTTACTGGGTCCCAGAAGTCCAAAGAGAAGCAGCCACAGGAACCAGAAAGCAGGAGAGATATTTCCTCTTCTCATCTCTAAATGATGCACATAGAAGTTGTCATTTAGATGCCTGGGTTCCAAAGGAAGGATAGGTCAAAGAGGCAGAGAGACAAGGGGCAAACCCCCTGGGCCTTGATAGAAAATAAAGTTGCACAAAAAGACCCAAAGGCCAGCCAGTGCCAGGGTAAGCCTTGTAGGCAGATGGCATGGTTGGGGGGAGCCCCCAAATTGCTCCACAGTTTGGCTTCTTATTTTTCTTCTTTTTTCCTCGCAAACGTGTCTGTGGCATTTATAGCTGATACTGAGTAGGGGAGGCCAGAGCTTTGGGTCCTCCCTCCCCAGGGAGGGGCATTTCCGCACTGTGCTTTCTGCAGGGCCGTTTGGAGAGATGTACCCTACAGGAATCAAGGCGGAGGAGAGAGCAGAGTCGGCAAGACCAGAGGGCGCACACATGAGGAGGGGCAGGGAGGGAGGCAGAATGAGGGGATCAAACTTGTCGGAGTGGAAGGGACCCACCCTTTGAACCAGAGCTGACCTGAAACCTGTTTTCCCTGGGTATGCCTCATTTTCAAAGCAGGAGGCCTTTGTAGAAGAAAGAAGGAAGAAGAGAAGAAAAGGAAACAAATGGATGGTAAAGGTCAATAGCAGTCTATCTAGGGGAAGCTGGGGATTTGGAGGGTGATAAGAGCATCAGGACACACACCCGGCTTTCTCCAGAGTGCTCCTTCCCAGCTGCAGAGCAGCACATGGCTACGTGAGTGATACACTCCACTCCCTGTGAGCTCTCCAAGGGTGGGGAAAGTGGACACTGAGTGAGTCTCACTTCTAGTATCAAGCGGAAGTGAGTAGGGAAGAGGATGGGGCACGGAACTACCCATTTCCCTGAGTCAATCTTTGGCAATGGCTCTTAAGCATAGGTCAGGGACCCTGACTCACCTGCGTCCCTATTTCTAGGCTCACAACTAGCAGTTGATTGAAATTTACCCCGTGTAATTCAGATATGCAAGGAAAAATGTAGTTTGGCTTGCTATAACTCACCCAACTCAGTTTCCAGACTCTCTTTCCCACCAATGGCAGGGAAGCCTGGGGTTGGAAATGAGGATACGGGTATAAGCTTGCCAAATATTGGTGATGAAATTTCATTTTCTTTTAAAAGTGTCTCTTTTGGAAGGCATACTGTATGGTTCTAATTATATGAAAGTCAAGTACATGGAAAAATCAACTGATGATGATTAAAGTCAAAATACTGGCTACCTCTAGGGTGGCACTGATGGGGAGGAGGCAGGGGAGGCTTCTGGGGTGATGAGAATGCGGCACATCTTGATCTGGAAAGTGGGTAGGTGAGTGTATGCATGTGTTAAGATTCAACAATTGGCCGGGTGCGGTGGCTCATGCCTGTAATCCCAACACCTTGAGAGGCTGAGGTGGGAGGATTGTGTGAGCCCAGGAGTTCAAGAGCAGTCTAGGCAACATAGCAAGACCCTGTCTCTATTTCTTTAAAATAAATACATTAAAGAATTAAATAAAATTCAACGACTTGAGCACTTATGTGTCCACTCTGCACATTTTACTGCATATATTTTAAGCCTCAATTTAAAGATTAAAAACAACAGTCAAGGGTACAAACTTTCAGTTATAAGAAGAATGAGTTCTGGAACTTTAATCACATGGAGACTATAATTAACAATATTGTATTGTCTATCTGAAATTTGCTAACACACACAGAAAAGAAATGTTAAATATGTGTTGGTGATGTGTTCATTAGTTTGATAGTGGTAATTATTTCACAATGTATACTCATCAAATCAACACATTGTACACGCTGAAAACATATAATTTTTGTCTATTTTACCTCAATAAGCTTGGGGGAAGAATTAAAAACAATAAGAAAGAAAAAAATTTTGGTGGCTCACGCCTGTAATCCCAACACTTTGGGAAGCCAAGGCGGGCGGGTTAGGAGTTTGAGACCAGCCTGATCAACATGGTGAAACCCCATCTCTAATAAAAATAAAAATAAAAAAAAATTAGCTGGGCGTAGTGGTGGGTGCCTGTAATCCCAGCTACTTGGGAGGCTGAGGCAGGAGAATTGCTTGAACCTGGGAGGCAGAGGTTGTAGTGAGCCAAGATCTCACCACTGCACTCCAGCCCGGGTGACAGAGTGAGACTCCGTCTCAAAAAAAAAAAAAAAAGAAAGAAAAAGAAAACAATGTTTCAGGTCTCTTTTGGGTAAATACTTGGCC